>NC_000011.10:38999393-39150909 GCF_000001405.40 Homo sapiens
TTCACTAGCTAAGAAACATTAAAGTGTTTATGTTTTACTTGAATTGTGTTATACTAAGAATTCAGGATAGATTTACTCATAAAGATGGAAGTTAAATACCTTTTAGTGCTTTAGATATATCTTTTCCATTTCACCAAATATCTCATTGGGATCTTAAAACTCTCAGTGCTTGGCTGAGCATATGCAAGTTATACAGAACAAGAAGATTCTTAATCTAAACCACTGATATTTTTCTAGACAACTCCAAAACAATAAGCCTTACCACCCCAATGTTTTCTTCTTACCTGAATATCTTTTTTTTTTTAATATACTTTAAGTTTTAGGGTACATGTGCACATTGTACAAGTTAGTTACATATGTATACATGTGCCATGCTGCTGCGCTGCACCCACTAACTCGTCATCTAGCATTAGGTATATCTCCCGATGCTATCCCTCCCCCCTCCCCCCACCCCACCACAGTCCCCAGAGTGTGATATTCCCCTTCCTGTGTCCATGTGATCTCATTGTTCAATTCCCACCTATGAGTGAGAACATGCGGTGTTTGGTTTTTTGTTCTTGCGATAGTTTACTGAGAAGGATGATTTCCAATTTCATCCATGTCCCTACAAAGGACATGAACTCATCATTTTTTATGGCTGCATAGTATTCCATGGTGTATATGTGCCACATTTTCTTAATCCAGTCTATCATTGTTGGACATTTGGGTTGGTTCCAAGTCTTTTATATTGTGAATAATGCCACAATAAACATACGTGTGCATGTGTCTTTATAGCAGCATGATTTATAGTCCTTTGGGTATATACCCAGTAATGGGATGGCTGGGTCAAATGGTATTTCTAGTTCTAGATCCCTGAGGAATTGCCACACTGACTTCCACAATGGTTGAACTAGTTTACAGTCCCACCAACAGTGTAAAAGTGTTCCTATTTCTCCACATCCTCTCCAGCACCTGTTGTTTCCTGACTTTTTAATGATTGCCATTCTAACTGGTGTGAGATGGTATCTCATTGTGGTTTTGATTTGCATTTCTCTGATGGCCAGTGATGATGAGCACTTTTTCACGTGTTTTTTGGCTGCATAAATGTCTTCTTTTGAGAAGTGTCTGTTCATGTCCTTCGCCCACTTTTTGATGGAGTTGTTTGTTTTTTTCTTGTAAATTTGTTGGAGTTCATTGTAGATTCTGGATATTAGCCCTTTGTCAGATGAGTAGGTTGTGAAAATGTTCTCCCATTTTGTAGGTTGCCTGTTCACTCTGATGGTAGTTTCTTTTGCTCTGCAGAAGCTCTTTAGTTTAATTAGATCCCATTTGTCAATTTTGTCTTTTGTTGCCATTGCTTTTGGTGTTTTAGACAGGAAGTCCTTGCCCATGCCTATGTCCTGAATGGTAATGCCTGCAAGGCTGGTTCAATATACGCAAATCAATAAATGTAATCCAGCATATAAACAGAGCCAAAGACAAAAACCACATGATTATCTCAATAGATGCAGAAAAAGCCTTTGACAAAATTCAGCAACCTTCATGCTAAAAACTCTCAATAAATTAGGTATTGATGGGACGTATTTCAAAATAATAAGAGCTCTCTATGACAAACCCACAGCCAATATCATACTGAATGGGAAAAAACTGGAAGCATTCCCTTTGAAAATTGGCACAAGACAGGGATGCCCTCTCTCACCACTCCTATTCAACATAGTGTTGGAAGTTCTGGCCAGGGCAATTAGGCAGGAGAAGGAAATAAAGGGTATTCAATTAGGAAAAGAGGAAGTCAAATTGTCCCTGTTTGCAGACGACATGATTGTATATCTAGAAAACCCCATTGTCTCAGCCCAAAATCTCCTTAAGCTGATAAGCAACTTCAGCAAAGTCTCAGGATACAAAATCAATGTACAAAAATCACAAGCATTCTTATACACCAACAACAGACAAACAGAGAGCCAAATCATGAGTGAACTCCCATTCACAATTGCTTCAAACAGAATAAAATACCTAGGAATCCAACTTACAAGGGACGTGAAGGACCTCTTCAAGGAGAACTACAAACCACTACTCAAGGAAGTAAAAGAGGATACAAACAAATGGAAGAACATTCCATGCTCATGGGTAGGAAGGATCAATATCGTGAAAATGGCCATACTGCCCAAGGTAATTTATAGATTCAATGCCATCCCCACCAAGCTACCAATGACTTTCTTCACAGAATTGGAAAAAACTACTTTAAAGTTCATATGGAACCAAAAAAGAGCCCGCATCGCCAAGTCAATCCTAAGCCAAAAGAACAAAGCTGGAGGCATCACACTACCTGACTTCAAACTATACTACAAGGCTACAGTAACCAAAACAGCATGGTACTGGTACCAAAACAGAGATATAGATCAATGGAACAGAACAGAGCCCTCAGAAATAACGCCGCATATCTACAACTATCTGATCTTTGACAAACCTGAGAAAAACAAGCAATGGGGAAAGGATTCCCTATTTAATAAATGGTGCTGGGAAAACTGGCTAGCCATATGTAGAAAGCTGAAACTGGATCCCTTCCTTACACCTTATGCAAAAATCAATTCAAGATGGATTAAAGAGTTAAACGTTAGACCTAAAACCATAAAAACCTTACCTGAATATCTTAATGACATAGTTTTTAGGCAGCTTGACGTAGTAAAAAGGCACTGAAGGAGAATAGAGAAGTCCTGAGTTTAAGTATTCATTTGGCTATAGACTTGTTTCAAAATGGCAGTTTCATCATCTATAATATGCTATGGTGTCTTCCTCAAAAGATAGTTCTCAGGATAAAGCAAGAGGAAGTATGTGAAAGAGCTCTGCAAATGTAATGGATTACAATGATTATTCTCATTAATGCAATGTTTGGCCAAGGGCAGTAGAAATACCAGGACTGATTAGCTTTTGAAAAAGATTCAGTACCCATGCAGCCTGCAGTTCTCTTCCTGTTTTCATTTTCAAAATTGCTAGGGCTCACTGTGAGATTTTCTCTAATTGCCACATATGTGATATAATTTTCTTCCAAAACATCATAAAATATTAGCTCTCTACTGCCTTCAACAAACCATCTTTTATATCTTTTTAAAGTTATTTTTGCAACTTTTGAAATTGTATGTGTAATAAAGACTAAAATTATTAATGTGTTGCCTCTTCAAATCATGAACTAATTAACTCAGCACATGTTCAGTTTCTCTCTAATTTTGTCGCAGTGTTCTACATACACCAGCATACTGAATAGTCAGTCAACACCATTCAATAGCAATTCAGAAATTGATGGGAATATGGAAGAGCACACAGTTTCAATAAACAAACTTTTACTCCTCAAGTATGAATGTAAAGATAAATACCAGAATTAAGCATTATTTTATAATGGAAAGATGTTTGAAATAATTTCTAGAAAGGCTGAGTTGTATTTCTCACTTTGGCAATATTGCAAACTACATTAGATTACAAAATGGCCCCAGTTATTTAACACTCTGAGCTTATGTGTCCACTGTGTATTCATAATTCTAGTAACAACAGTGGAGTCTGTATCCTCATTCTTTGAATATAGGCTATCCTCGTGATTTGCTATGGCTTATAGAATGCAGCAGAAGTGACAGTGTTCCAGTTCTAAGATTCAGGAGACTTTGCACACATGTCTCTATTGGAATCCTTCTCGGTGATCTTTCCCAGAGTAGCTTGTTGGATGACAAGATACACATGGCCTAGTCACTGATGGCTCTAAGAACAAGATTGCTACCATATATGTGCATGAAGCCATCTTAGGCCAGTCAGTTCTCTGCCAACCTGCTAGCTGACTAAAAAGCTATGATCAATTGAGTGTGAGCCACACCAGTATATCATTCAAGCAGACCCATAACAATGTGAGAAATAATAATTGTACATTGTTTCAAGTCATTGAGATTGGGGAAGTTTGTAGCAATTACTTATTGCTGTACAGTAAAACACTCTAAACATAATGTCTTAGCAATCATCTATTTAGCTCATAAATTCTGTGGATTAGCAGTTTGGGCTGGACTAGGTTGGTTCTTTGAGTCTCAGCTGGGCTTTCTCATGGGACTGCAGTCAGCTAACAAGTCATCTAGACAGTTTGCCTAGGATGGCTTCCACCAGGATAGATCATTTATGTTGTGTGTTGTCTCTCATTCACTACAAGAAAAATTTTAGAATTCTGACATAAGTAGATGAAAGATGAAAAATTAGAAGTTAGGATACATCTGGGACAGTTTGAGATAGCTTAATATATCTATCCATGTGGAATTCTGGAAGAAGAAAGAGAGAGAGAAAATCAGACCAAAAATTATTATTTGAAAAGACAGTGGCTTATAATTTTACTAACTCATAAAAGATATTATTCCATAAAGCCATCAAGTCCACAGTAATTTAAGTAACTAAATAAAAAATTCATAATCCACATCCAGCTGTATTATACTAACATTGCATAAACATAAACTCAAAACCAAAAAAAAAATTAAAGTTAGGGATGAGAGAGGGAGGGATGGAGATTTTACAGATTACTGGCAAATAATAAAATTTGAATGATTTTACAACAGCAAAAATAGAAGGGCTATGCCAGTGGAGTGACACCTTCAAAAAACTAACTCTAAATGCAGAATCTAAACCCATTAAATATATGTTTCAAGAAATAAAGCAAAATACAACTATTTTCATATTAAAAAACGAAAAAATCAGAAAGTTTTCCACCAGCAGATCACACTAAAAGAAACATAAAACAAGGTATCTCAGGAAGAATGAAAGAAATCTCAAATGGTAGATTTTAGATTAAAGAAAAATTTAAAAAATTTAGAAACTATATGGGAAAATTTAAGTAAATATTAACTATATAGAATAAATAGTATTTAAATTGTTGTGTAGCCCAGCGTAAAATAAGAATTAAATTATATGACAACAGTTACATGTCAGCCAGGAAAGTGAGTTATATAGCAGTATTCTGAGAGTCTTCTCTAGTTTAGGAGGAGAAGGACATGATTGATTAATTTTACATTTTGGTAAGGGGATTTGTGTATCATAATTTATCAGATAACTAAAGTGATAATAATAGAGTAAATACATTCTATATTGTGGATGAGGAGAGAATGAATTTGAAAATGTTCAGTAAACCCAAATAAAGGAAAAAAGAAGAGAAAAAGAAATATAGAATAGGCAAGACATATAAAAAGCACAAAGTATGATACTAGTTATCAAACTTACATGGAAATTATATTAATTATGAATAGACTAAATTCTCTGGTTAAACTACAAGGATTATTCCAAAGCAAAACCAACTATATGCTCTTTTTAAAAGATGAAAATAGGCCGGGCACGGTGGCTCACGCCTGTAATCCCAGCACTTTGGGAGGCAGGTGGATCATGAGGTCAGGAGATCAAGACCATCCTGGCTAACATGGTGAAACCCCATCTCTACTAAACATACAAAAAAAAAATTAGCTGGGCGTGGTGGGGGGGCACCTGTAGTCCCAGCTACTTGGGAGGCTGAGGCAGGAAAATGGCATGAACCCAGAGGTGGAGCTTTCAGTGAGCCAAGATCACACCACTGCACTCCAGACTGGGCGACAGAGCGAGACTCCATCTCAAAAAAAAAAAAAAAGGTGAAAATAAAACATATGTAAAATTTTACACATAAATGTATAAATTTACATATGTATGTTTTAAATTGAAATAAAGTTAAAACATGCAGAATATGCTAAACAATATAATGTCAGAATTGGCTATTAATGTCAGATTAAATAATATTTATAGAATAAAACACTACAATAAACAAAAAGTTTCATTTTATAGTGATGAGCTTAAATTCACCAGAAATATATTATAATTTAAAAATTTATATGAATCTAATGATATCCAGTTATTTGAGAAAATTAAACAATGTTATGTTTAAAATTGATGAATTATATCCATAATGAATGTTTACATTTACCTGTACAACTATTAAAACAATGAAACAACAACAGCAAAAAATAAAAACCAGCAAAGATATAAATTGCAGCAACATAAGTAAAAACCTTACTTTCATATACACACACACTGGACCCAAAAGTGTGTGCACTAAGCAGTTGTAAAGATTCCACCCCAATGGACTTAGAATACTTATTAAAGATTTTACAACATCAGTTACATAAAAATGCTATATGTTATTATTAAGGTTTTAAAATATGTCTATGAACTGTCTCTGTGTATTTCACTAAATTTTCTCTTGGTAACTCTTCTCTTAAAAAAGTTTTAGATCTCTGCAATCACATCTATGTCTCAGTTCTCTGACTTTGCCATTTTAGATCCCATTGACTGGAGTATTCTAGATGATTCCTACCCTTCTACAGACCATATTATGATTCAACAGTTTGAAAAAACTTCCCTTTTTTCTTTTTTACTGGCATGTTTATACACACCTTTATACCATTGCAAATGACATAATAGAAATTGCCTTTTAATACTTAATTTACAAGATAATTCCTTAGATAATAATCTTACAGTATTAGTCCATTTTCATACTACTGATAAAGAGAATTTGTTAAGAAAATTTATAAAGGCAATTTATAAAGAAAAGGAAGTTTAATGGACTTACAGTTCCACATGGCTGGGGAGGCCTCTCAATCATGGCAGACAGTGAAAAGGCACATTTTACATGGCGGCAGGCAAGAGAAAATGAGAGACAAGCAAAAGGGATCTCCCCTTACAAAACCATCAGATCTCGTGAGATTTGTTCACAACCATGAAAACAGTGTGGGAGAAATCGCCCCCATGATTCAATTATCTTCCACTAGGTTCCTCCCACAACACATGGGAATTATGGGAGCTACAATTCAAGATGAGATTTGGGTGGGGACACAGCCAAACCATATCATTACACCCTGGCCCCTCCCAAATCTCATGTCCTCACATTTCAAAACCAATTATGCCTTCCCAAGAGTCCCCCAAAATCTTAACTCATTTCAACATTAACTCAAAAGTCCATAGTCCAAAGTCTCATCTGAGACAAGGCAAGTCCCTTCTGTGTATGAGCCTATAAAATTAAAAGCAAGTTAGTTACTTCCTAGATACAATGGGGGTATAGACATTGGGTAAATACAGCCATTCCAAATGGGAGAAATTGGCCAAAACAAAGGGGTTACAGGCCCCATGCAAGTTTGAAATCCAGCGAGGCAGTCAAACCTTAAAGCTCCAAAATAATCTCCTTTGACTCCATGTCTCATATCCAGGTCACACTGATGAAAGAGGTAGGCTCCCAAGGCCTTGGGCAGCTCCACCCCTGTGGTTTTGCAGGGAACAGCCTCCCTGTCTGCTGCTTTCATGGGCTGCCATTGAGTGTCTGTGGCTTTTCCAGGCACACAGTGCAAGCTGTAGGTGGATATACCATTCTGGGGTCTGGAGGACAGTTCTCACAGCTCCAGCAGGTGGTGACTCCGGGGTCTGGAGGCTCTCTTCTCACAGCTCCACTAGTCAGTGCCTCAGTAGGGACTCTATGTGGAGGCTCTGACCCAAAAATGTCCCTTCTGCACTGCCCTAGCAGAGGTTTTCCATGAGAACTCTGCCCCTGAAGCAAACTTCTGCCTGAGCATCCAAGTGATTTCATACATCCTCTGAAATCTAGGTGGAGGTTCCCAATCTTCAATTCTTGACTTGCATCCACTCACAGGCTCAACACCACATGGAAGCTCCCAAGGCTTGGGGTTTGCACCCTCTGAAACCATGGCCCAAGCTGCACCTTGGTCCCTTTTAGCCATGGCTAGAGTGGCTGGGATGCAGGGCACCAAATTGCTAGGCTGCACACAGCAGGGGGTGCCTGGGCCTGGCCCATGAAACAAGTTTTTCCTCCCAGGCCTCCAGGCCTGTGATGGGAGGGGCTGATAGAAAGGTCTCTGACATACCCTGGAGACATTTTCCCCATTTTCCTGATGATTAACATTTGGCCCCTCATTACTTATGCAAATTTCTGCAGCTAGCTTGAATTTCTCCTCAGAAAATGGGTTTTTCTATTTTTTATCACATCTTCAGGCTGCAAATTTTCTGAACTTTTATGCTCTATTTCCCTTTTAAAACTGAATGCTTTTAACAGCACCCAAGTAACCTCTTGAATGCTTTGCTGCTTAGAAATTTCTTCTGCTAGATACGCTAAATCATCTCCCTCAAGTTCAAAGTTCCACAAATATCTAAGGCAGGGGCAAAATGCTGCCAATCTCTTTGCTAAAACATAGCAAGTGTCAACTTTACTCCAGTTCCCAATAAGTTCCTCATCTCCATCTGAGACCACCTCAGCCTGGATTTCATTGGGTCCATATCATTATCAATATTTTGGTCAAAGCCATTCAACAAGTCTCTAGGAAGTTCCAAACTTTACTACATTTTCCTGTCCTCTTCTGAGCCCTCCAAACTGTTTTAACTTCTGTCTGTTACCCAGTTCCAAAGTTGCTTTCACACTTTCGGGTATCTTTACAACAGTACCCCGCTACCTGGTACCAATTTACTGAATTAGTCTGTTTTTACACTGCTGGTAAAGACCTACCTGAGACTGGGTAATTTACAAAGAAAAAGAGGTTTAATAGACTCACAGTTCCATGTGGCTGGAGAGGTCTCACAATCATGGTGGACAGTGAAAGACACATCTTGCCTGGTGGCAGACAAGAGAAAATGAGAGCCAAACAATAGGGGTTTCCCCTTATAAAACCATCAGATCTCATGAGATTTATTCACTACCACAAGAAGAGTGTGGGGGAAAACTACACCCATGATTCAGTTATATCCCACTGGGTCACTCCCACAACATGTGGGAATTATGGGAGCTACAATTCAAGATGAGATTTGGGTGGAGACACAGCAAAACCATATCACTTAGTTTTTTTTTTTTTTTAACTTTCACTTATCACTTTATTCAGCCTACAAAAGCTTACTAAGCTCCTTGTGCTGGAGCTAGGAACATGAAAATAAAGTGTAGCCTCTGCTCTGAGATTTCACCAGACAGGTAATAAATCAAATATGGTAGGGAGAATAATGACCCCTAAAGATGTCCACATCCTATGCCCCAGAACCTATGGATATTTTACTTTCCATGGCAAAAAGGGACTTTGTGAATGTGATTAAGATAAGGATTTTTTAAAATATGTTTTTGGGAAACAGGTGGTGTTTGATTACATGTATAAGTTCTTTAGTGCTGATTTCTGAGATTTTGGTGCACTTCTCACCTAAGCAGTGTACACTGCACCCACTGTGTAGTCTTTTATCCCTCACACCCTTCACACCCTTTCTTGTGAGTCTCCAAAGTCCACCATATCATTCTTATGCCTTTGTCTCCTCATAGCTCCCACTGATGAGTGAAAACATAGGATGTTTGGTTTTCCATTCCTAAGTTTCTTCACTTAGAATTATGGTCTCCAACTCCATCTAAGTTGCTGCAAATGCCATTATTTTGTTCTTTTTTATGGCTGAGTAATATTCCATGGTATATATGTACCACATTTTCTTTATTCATGAGTTGATTAATGGGCCTTTGGGCTAGTTCCATATTTTGCACTTGCAAATTGTGCTGCTATAAACGTGCGTGTGCAAGTATCTTTTTCGTGTAATGACTTCTTTTCCTCTGGGTGGATATCCAGTGATGGGATTGCTGGATCAAATCGTAGATCTACTTTTAGTTTTTTAAGGAATCTTCACATTGTTTTCCACAGTGGTTTTACTAGTTTACATCCCCACTAGTAGTGTAAAGGTAATAATAACTGCTCTTTAAACTTCTTGCTTAGTTGCATAAAGCAGCTGTTTTTAATTTACCTCTATCCCTGTATCTGTCCTGCTACAAAATTTAGGAACTTCTACTAATTCATACACACATGCACATGCACACACACAGACACAATCATTTCTATTGCCCTAAATCCTTCCCTCATATTCATGCCTACCCTTGTCTTTTAATCAAACACCTGTTTTAAAAAATATATAAATCATTTATTCTTCTACCTTTCCCCTGAGAGCTCAACAAGTTGGCTTCCTCCTTATGTGCAAATGATTCTCAAAATTATGCCTGTTACTGAAGCCAGCACTGATTAGTTGGAAGACTGGCCATACTAAATACATTCTCTTTTTTCATAAGCTCATGAGCGCAAATATGTGAAGCTGTGTTTTCTGTATGTTTACAACACAAATAAATTTTATAACATATTGCAAACTTTAAAAAAAAAAGTCACCCATGCTTTAAAGACAGTTTTAGATATAATGTATATTAAATCATTCAGTAATGCTGATGGATCTTCTGTCCTGCCTATTTCTTTAGTCATCACCCTGGCCTGCATTCTTCTATTTTCTCAAAAAAAGGATAATGTGGTAATCACTAGTCGCTGATACTTCTATTACTATTACAATGCTTACAACATAACATTATTCTACATAAATATAAGTCTATGATTTTAAGACAAGGTGTAGGTAAATTTGGGGAAGGTGAAATTTCCACAAGTTTTTAAGATATTGAAAAGGCATCTCTCCACATGTAAGATGAAAGAAAAGTTCATTTTGATCCATTAGTGATAATGATTTTGCTTCTAACTATATTGAAATAATTGAGAATATTTCTTATTATCCTTAAGGAGGAAATTCTACTCTTTGAAATGAGAGATTTTAAATATTTAATTTCAGAAAAAATGGCAGCTCCTATATCTCTGTTAACATTGGGACAGAGAAAAATCTATAGCTACTAATGGGGTGATATGTCACTTAAGAAAGGTTTTTTTTTTTAAGGTTATTTTTATTGTGAAACTGTGCCAAATGTACTATTTTTCTTTTTATTTGTAGACGAAAATAATTATTAAGTTTACAGACACATGTCAATTGATACAGCTTAAATTTATTTACCCTCAGATGGAGGTTTGGAGGACTGTATATTGAATTGACTTTGCTAAGGCAACCTCTCTATTTATCTGTGTATTTACTCTTACACCTATTTCCTTTGGCTTCTCCATCAGAGTAGATTTACTATTCTACCTGTTTGCTCAAACCAAAAACCCAGGGGTCAGCTATAATTTTTTTACTTTCTAACACACACCACATTCAATCCATTAGTAAGCTGTTGGCTTTACCTCCTGATACACACTGCATTTCATAGTTCCTTTCTGTGTTCACTGCAATGACATTAACTCAGGCTGCCATTATTTCACACCCTGACTGTGATAATAGATGCTCGACTGCTCTCTCTCTGAGCCTCTCCCGTCCTCACGTAGAAGCTATCTTTTTTTTTTTTTTGAGACGGAGTTTCCTCTGTCGCCTAGGCTGGAGTGCAATGGCGCAATCTCGGCTCACTGCAAGCTCCACCTCCCAGGTTCACGCCATTCTCCTGCCTCAGCCTCCCAAGTAGCTGGGACTACAGGTGTCCGCCACCATGCCTGCCTAATTTTTTGTATTTTTTTTTAGTAGAGACGAGTTAACCCAGGATGGTCTTGATTTCCTGACCTCGTGATCTGCCTGCCTCGGCCTGCCAGAGTGCTGGGATTACAGGCGTGAGCCACCGCACCCGGCCGAAGCTATCTTTATAAATAAATATACTTCAACCTACAACCATCTAGTGAGTTCTTATTGCACTTAAGATCTAATTAAAAACTCCTTTCCAAAGTCAACAAAAGACATATAAGTCATTGTCCTTGCCCACCCATTTCACCACATCCTGTACTTCTTTGCCCTCACTACAATCAAGCCAGTCACACTCTTGTCTTTTCTGTTTCTTGAACATGTACTGCTTATTCTCATTTGTGTCCTTCCTATTATCCCTAATGTCAATGCTTTGCTCCCAGATCTTCCTTTGCCTGGTTCTTCTTTAAATGTTGACATTTCAAAGAAATATTTTCTAGTTACTTCATCTGAAGTAACCTCTAAACATACACATAGTCCATTTCTATATCACATCATCATGTTTCATTTTATACATAGCCTATGCAACTATCTGAAAATAGTTTATTTCCTCTCCATTGTCAAAATTTTCTTCAATAGAAGATTGTATGTGTCATGTAACACTTCATGTAGAATTTAGGATAATATCTAGTGCATGAAAGAACATCAAGATCTTCTTTAATGAATGGAGTTCAATGTATATTTTTAAGAAAAACTAAAGCTTAATTTGATCTTTCAATAAAAATATCGATACTACAGGAGAAACTATAATTCATAAAAACTTAAAAATCTTAGTTTATACAGTTATGCAAAACAAAAACCTAGGAAAAACATTTTGATTTTCTCAGCAAAGGGCAATAATAGATCCTGGGATACTCCTGCTGCCTTGAAATTCCAATTTTATTTCTGCTAAGTATTGGAGAAAATCATCATACAAAGCATGGGACATCACTTTACTACATTTGAATGTTGTTAATAAACCTAAAACCTCTGAAAAGTGGCAGAGAGCCCAATTACGTAGAACATGGTTAAAACAGATGCTCCCTAACATACAATAGATTATGTAAACTGTCACAATTCATTTCAGCTGAGAGCATTTGAATGCCAAGACTTGGCTCCTTTGAAGGTCTGGCACACAATGACAAACAGGATTGCAGGATGCCTCTCTTAGGGTTGCACTATGAGTGATTACAGTCCAAAACTTCTAGTTCTCAGGTGTTCCCACTACTTCCACTGAGTTCTTACAACACTAGCATTGCTTAATGTTACAAAAGAACAGACAAAATTGCTCAAAGGAATGCTGTATTTGCTGACACACTCTGTGTGAGTTGGAAGCTTACCTTAGATGAAATGACTAGAAAATAATACTCTGAAGTGTCAACATTTGAGAATGTACTAGGCAAAGAAAGAACTGGGAGAAAGAATTGCCATCAGAGATAATAGAAAGGACAAAAATGAGGATGAGCTCTACATGTCCAAGAAACAGAAAGAACACCAGTGTGACTGGCCTGATTATTGGTGAATATCATGAATTTTTTTTCTTTTAAGATGAAGTTTCACTCTGTTGACCAGGTTGGAGCACAATGGCGCAATCTCAGTTCACCGCAACCTCTGCCTCCTAGGTTCAAGCGATTCTCCTGCCTCAGCCTCCTGAGTAGCTGAGATTACAGGCACGTGCCACCACACCCAGCTAATTTTGTATTTTAAGTAGAGATGGGGTTTCTCCATGTTGGTCAGGCTGGTCTCGAACTGCTGACCTCAGGTGATCTGCCTGCCTTGGCCTCCCAAAGTGGGATTACAGGAGTGAGCCACTGCGCACGGCCAGAATATCATGAAAATTTAAAAAACCGAGAGAGAGAGACCACGTAAAACAATATTTCACTTTACATGATTAACTTAACTCTAAAGAGATTCAAACAAGTTTTTTATTTTTTTTTAACTTTATTTTTTGAGATGGAGTCTTGCTCTGTCACCAGGCTGGGGTGCCATGGCGCTATCCCGGCTCACTGCAACCTCTGCCTCCTGGGTTCAAGCGGTTCTCCTGCATCAGCCTCCCGAGTAGCTGGGATTACAGGGGTGTGCCACCACACCAAGCTAATTTTTGTATTTTTTAGTAGAGATGGGGTTTTACCATGTTGGCCAGGATGGTCTGGATCTCTTTGACCTCGTGATCTGCTCACCTTGGCCTCCCAAAGTGCTGGGATTTCAAACAAGTTTTGAGTCAAGCCAGAACTAGGCTCATTTATCACCACTCTTCAGTTTATAACACGCTTTTCTTTCTTTTCTTTTTTTTAAAATAAGTTTTATTCTAAATATTTAAGGTAAACAACATGATGTCATGAGATACATATAGACAGTAAAATGGTTACTATAGTGAAGCAAATTACCATATCCATCATCTCACATCCCACTTTGGTATAACACTCTTTTCTTTTCCCAATGTGCCAACCTCAGTTTTCTTTGAAAACAAAATAAAACAAAACTTAATTTTAAAAATTTAGCCACAAAAAGCTGAAAATAAATTACATAACCCATAGATTTTTTTTTACTTATCATATATTACATGATTTGCTTGTTATATATTACATGATTATGTATGATCACATTTTTTAGTATGAATTTTATTTTCTTTATTTTTATTTTTTTACCATTATTTATTTATTTATTTATTTATTTTTTAAATTTTATTATTATTATACTTTAAGTTTTAGGGTACATACACACAATGTTATATAATCATGTAGAAGGCTCTACAATGCCTTCTCATGCTTGAAGTTACATATAGTAAAATAAGTGAACCAGAAAATAAACTTACTAGGGTATAAGTTCACTACTTTATGAAGCTCTTCAAATTTCCAACTGTGGCAGAGACTATTGACTGTCCATTAAAGATTCATGTTCCCTTTCTCTTTTGTAGGCATGTTTCTAAGAAGCAGCTACACAGGCTGGTGCTGTAATTAGGGTACATTAGAGTATGGCCTTGTGATTATTTCCCAAACATTGTGAGCTAATGTGATGTTGTTGCTCTTGTTGTTTCTGGACTGACATTATTAAGAAACAAGTTTTCTTTTCCACATCCACTTTTTCCCATCCTGTTGCTGCCTAGAATTGTTGAAAATAGCAGAGCCACATTTGAGCAGTGCCTAGTCCTGGAATGATCTGAGACAGCATCTGGAAGATATCAACATCTGGCATTTGTGTAAAGGAGAGATAAACTCCTATTGTATTAAATCCACAGAGATATTTGGATGTCTGAGTTACCATAACTAATATGCCCTCTGATATTTTTGTGAGGACGTCAAATATTTTATGATTTAGGGTACAAGAAATTTTCTCTCTAGGCAGTAAAATTGACATTGATATTTCTATTTTAGTTGAGCATTATAACATGGGATCAATTGCTCTTTGATAAATTATTGGATCACCATTTACAAAGTATACACGAACATCACCTATACAGTTTAAGATATTTGGGCAGTTAAATTAACCAATCCTGATTTATCTCAACTTTATTTCCCAGGAGCTACAAAAGTCATATTTTGTCTAAAAAAGTCCAGTGTAAAGTGGCAGAGACTGAGTGTGACTTTCACAAGAAAGAATGTGCTTTCTTGGAGCAGGAAAATGAAATGGTAGAAAGGTATTATTCTACTGAAAAATTATTTGAGGGTGGGAGTAGTGGCTCAAGCCTGTAATCCTAGTACTTTAGGAGGCCAAGGTGGGCAGATGACTTGAACTCAGGAGTTCGAGACTAGCCTCAGCAACATGGTGACACCCTGTCTCTACCAAAAATACAAAAAATTAGCCAGGCGAGGTAGCGTGCTTCTGTAATCCCAGCTACTCAGAAGGCTGAGGCAGGAGGATCGCCTGAGCCTGAGAGGTGGAGGTCACAGTGAGAGAGATTGTGCCACTGCATTCCAGGCTGGGTGACAGTGAGAATCTGTCTCAATACAAAATAAAAAATAAATTTGAACACATAAAGAGTAAACAGTGTATAGAGCAGCAGACCATATAGTGGTCTATCAACTTCTATTTTCTCCAGTAAATCCTATTGATTATAGAAAGATTGTATAAGTTCCATTTTAAAATAATAAAAAATACAAATGAATATTATTTTCAAAATAAACAAAAATATAAACTATATAAGTCTGTGTTTCAGTAGATTTATTCAATCAGTTTCAGTTTGTTTATTCAATCAGCTAAGTAAAACATATTTTTCTCAAGTTGGGAGAATGGCATATGACTCATCATCCATATGTCATGTTATATTTTCCTCCTTTTAATATAGAAAAGTTGTGTATTTGATGGAACTCTTTAAATTTCCTTTGGTGTCCCATATTTACTGGGTGGTTACTGTTCTGAGAAACAATGAAGAGCTCTATGCTTGCTTTAGAGTTCTTAATTTTCTACAAAATTCTTTAAGGAATGAGCTGAAACAACTAAACAAGAACAAATTGAAACTCATCTTGTTCATGATGCTTTTGTTCATAATCCCGCTGCTGCTTGGAAAAAGGGCTCCTTTGTTTTTCATCTAGTACAAGTATTCATGTGTCTTTTTTCACTAGAGTTTTGAGTTTATATGTCTACACACTCATAATGAGGTAATTACTCTGTTAATTTGGCTTATTTTGACTTTAACATAATTTTCAAAATTTTCACATTGACTATAAATGTATTTGTATGCTTTTCATATCTCAAAGATAGACAGTTAAGGGCGTGTATGTAAACCATATAGAACAATTCATGTGTCTACACACAGTCTTAATGGGTGATACTTTGAAAAAGCTGATACATCTATACAAACAAAAATATTACCGGGCAGGGGAAAAAGGAAACATTTTTGCAAGGCTTATATTGTTGTAGGACTTGGTGTTGATTAAAGATAACAAAACTCACCTAAGACCAAATAACATAAAATGAAGCAGAATAGAAAAAATAAAATGATGAAGCAAACAGTTATCTTATTTATCAGATATAGAAAACAGTGATATACATCTAGTAATGTATTTAAATAAAATTTTAAAATATTAATCTGTAATATTATTATCTAAAGTCAATTCACTAACATTTCACAATGAATTCTATTACCTTCATTAATTCATGATAAATGTTATTATTATTACCAGCATGTTATTATTGATAAAGATACATAAATAGTCACTGGGATATTATAGTTCTATTTAACTGATACATAAAGCAATGCTATATTTAAATGTCAATTATTAATACTGAATAGAGGAACATTTAAATTTGATTTGCTTTTGTTAAATGTAATTGGGTATTTAAAAACTTTGGTAACCCTTATATTATTTTGTTTGGCCTAAAAGTACACTTTATGTTCTTTATTTATTAATTTTTCAAGCACAGTGGCTGATTGATGCAGATATTGAGCTTTTGCCATGTTAAAATTACAATGTAATCTCATACCTAGCCTTAAGTTTAAAGTAAATACAGAGGAAAGAAGAACAAATCAAACAATACCTTCAAAAAACAGTCAGACAATTCCAAACTATGGGACATTCTATAAGACAAATTAGTATAAACTGTACAAGAGGATCAATGTCACTTTGAAAAGTAGGAACTGTTCTAGAGTAAGAGACAAAACACATTTGTGAGTATCTTGATTAGATAATGGTAGACACGAAAAGAAAAGCTTCAGAAAAGAAACTTATGACATATTGGGTATATTTAAATTTCAATTTGATAATAGAGGACATTAGGGAATTACTGTTAATATTTTTCATTTTCATACTATTAATATTGTTCATCACATAAACTAATGTGAAAACTAAAAAAAGTTTGAAATCAATTAGTATTTGGTTACATTAAATTTTGAGATATCACAAAAATAAAAACAAACTAGCTACTGGAGCTTATAATGTCATTTTATGTCACATAATATCCTTATTTTTCAGAGACATATGTTGAAATATTTAGGAATGGAGTGCAATGTCCACAACTTACTTTGAAGTGGTTCAGCAAAACACAGTTCTCCCATACACAGGTGCACACACATATACATACAATGAAATAAATTATAGAAATAAACTAAAAATAGTTAAATCTAGATGGAGAAGGTGTGGATTTATTATTCTACTATCATTTTACTTTTCCATATTTGTAAAAATTATAATAAAATCTTAAAAATGTATAAAGACCCTCCTTAAGAGTTAAAACTAGAGAGTTGAAAAAGGGAACGATCCTATAATACTAAGTAACACATACAGCATATACAAAATTTACAGGCAAAGTGTTTGCAATAGCCATTATTAAAACCTAACAATCAGTTCTGGAATTTGACACTACTAAAGCACACCTGAACTTCCCAGGACACCTTCTTGCACATTGCCCAATAGTAAGCTAACACATGTGATTGCCTTTGGCCTTTCTAAAGGTCAGGAGCTTCCTAGACCTTAAATTCATAACGATTTTATTTCCATTTTTATTTTTCATCATAGATAAAATGATAAGAGGGCACAGCTTTATGAAATTTTTATGAATACTGTAACTTTCAAGTCTCTCTCAATTTGGGATCTTATTCATATTTTCATCAGCTTCTTCTGGGTCAATTGATTTTTAATGGCATTCTTCTCAGGTGTATTATTATTACAAAATAGTTTTTACAGATATAAACACAAATATTTTTCCTTGCAGAGTGATTATTTATAAACTCTCTGAGAACAGTCATATCCCTGTGTAATTAGGTGAGTTTCCATATAAAGCAAATTTTTGAAACAAGATTGAAGACCAGAAAGGGTATTGCAAATAAATCAGCAATGAAGATGTAGAATCTAAAATGACAGTGAACAAAAGATAAAATTATTATTTAATCTCCTATAACAATATTTCAATATAAATATAATTTATATTATATATTTACATATATTATAAACATAATTAAAGGAGCAATTTCATTAGTTAATGATCAGGATCAGATATTCCTAATAGCTTTATGAATAGCTTATGAGATAAATAAATACAGAATTATGTAATATATGAGGTAATAAATGGAAGAGTAAATACAATTTATCCCAAAATAACAATAACTGTTAAAATAATTATGCCACTCACAGTCATGAATAAGCTCCAATAGCTAATTTGTCTTTATTTTTGCAATACCTCAAAATTTACTGTAACCAAATAGCTAATTGATTTCAAATTTTTAAAAAATTTTCACAGTTCATCAATATTGAATTATTCAATTAATATTTAAAAATACTTGGCTCATGTAGAATATATAGGAAGAATAATGTGAGCTTAAATCAATTTTCTCTTAGAAAATTTTGTTGGAAAAGCATTACTTGTTTTCATTCACATTTTTATAATGGAAATTGGTTCCTATCCCTAATCTGACTTAATGGAAAGGAAGATCAAGTTCTTGACATATCTGATAGGATAGCAACACAATTTGCTGGACTTGCCACCTGATGATGAAACTGTCAGAACTGTACTAATGAGAAAGAGATGCTTTGATTAGATGCCTTGTTGCATGTTAATTATAAAGTTAGGAAACTAGAGAGTTCATACTCTGATATAGAATTCCTAGTAGGATTAGGTTGATTCTTAAAGGGCCGGAAAGTCAAGCTGAAACAAAATACCATTTATGTCTTACACTGTCCAAAAAAAGATACCTTCAATATAACCTTAAAATTTTATGTAATTTGCTAAGATCAAAAGGTAGTGTCCATTCAGATTCCAGGCTACACTGCTCAGGAGCCTGAGTTTTAATAATGCTGGTTCTATATCTGAAAGCAACAATAGTAAGTGAGCACTTGGTCAGAGATGAGCAACTAAGGTGAAAAATCTAGCAAATGTGTTACATAAGAAATACATAATGTGATATGTTTTGATTATGCACAAACATATGTTAGCCAACTTCAAGTGTTTGTAACTCTATCATGTAGGTGATAGACTTGGTTTATTCTCTTACTGAGTTAAATTTGCAAACATTCCTGGTACCACAAATGCAGCTGTCCAGAAGAAACAATAATGAAAGCTAATGAGTGAATTCTATGTTAAGATAGGTAACTTTAAAGTCTTTCTATGATTTCTTTGAATTTGATTTTCTATGATTTGCTGGAATTAGTAATGAAGTTCTGTGTAAATTATAACAAGATTGACTAAAACTATTAAAGTACATGCGAAGTAGGTCATTTAATTGTTAGCTTCAAGAGAGTTTTGTATATTTACCAGAAATTTTGCATTTGGTTCCATTTGGAAATTTCTCTTTGGACAATTACAACCATTTCATTTTTTAAAAAGTAATTCAATTTCCTTTTGATTGTAGTCAAATAAAGTAAGAGTTAATAATAAGACCATTTTTTATCTCATAAGAATTCAGGGAAGAAAATGAGATTGTATCACTGGAAAACTGAGGCAATTTTCTAGTTAATTTAATTTGCAAACCACTTTTACTTGACATTTCGTGTAACTTTGGAAAAAGCTATTTTATTTTCATTTTACTTGTAGAAACAGAAAGTTATATGAATATTTTGCCTTTAGTTTGCAACTGAAGCATTAATCAACTTGGGTAATATGATAATACCACGCCTACATAGGGAGATTTTTGCATGCATGACCATGAATGTTTTATTCTTGTGAGTAATGTCCGAAATCTGAAAAACTATGCAATAAACTCCATATAATATCTTCATATACACCTACTAGAGCAGTTCTGTTTCCATATTCCACAAACACTAATTGTTTTCATAGAATTCATTTAATTAACTCCATCCCACTGTAGAAATTTCATCTAGAGGAGATGATGAGACTGAGTTAACTGCAATCTGGGAAAGTATGTGCCTTAAACAGGTGCAACCTCCTGCATCTATTTTGTGACTGTGTTTATGAATAAACATAAATTTTAGAATATCATGTTTAGTCTCATTCTATCCTGTTCTATACACAAATGATAATTTGTGGGTATTTTCATCCAAGCCATTGGTTACTGGTGTCAGCTTATTATTAGAGATGTAAGTAACATGGAATCAAGTTACTTAACCTGTAAGTGGTATTTCTAGGTATTTTACTGTAAACCAATTTCTATTAGTGTCTACTTTTAGTTTATAATAAAAAGTAATTAAATGTCTACCCTAAACTTTCCTTGCAGCATAGAACATTCAAATAAGTTGACATCATTCTTCCATAGGGATGTGGAAGTATTTAGAATGCTTTTCAATATCTGTAAACACAATACGTTATCAATTTTATAGTATATTCAGTATTCTGACCTTGTAATGTGTGTCTTCTAAGGAAAAGCATATCAACAACTATATTTATTTGTTCATGATTCAAAAGAAGAAGAGAATTATGCATATTTTCTGACGTTCTGAATAAGTAGTGCACCAACTGGCCCTGCAACTGTGTCAGAAGTTAGAATATCACTTGTGTCCTTCACATATAATTTAACAGGTAAGCAAACAACCAAAGCAAAAGAAAAATAAAATAAAACAAAGGCAAAGTGAACACACACACGCAACTATAACACACTTCAGTAAAATCCTGATATTTCCTACAAAGATAACTTAGAACAGTTTTAAAATTTCAATTTATTTCTAAAATATTTTTATTTTAATACCCCTGCTTTGTTGAATACATAAACTATAGTTGCTTGTATGGTTAGCAGATGTCTTACATGGCTTCTAAGATTCCCTGTCCCCTGGTATATATGAGTTTCAAGTCCTTTGGATAGTAAATATGATGATTTTACTTTCATTATAAGATTATGTTATATGAAACAGTTGATGTAAAGAAAACGAGATTATCCACGTGGGTCTAACCTAATTACAAGTCTTTTAAAAGCAAAGAGTTTTCTCTAGAAATTAGAAGCAGAAGAGGAAGTCAGAGATTCAAAGAATGAAAAAGATTCTACATGCCATTGTTGTTTCAAAGAGAGAGGAGCCATGTAGGAAGGAATGTGAGTGGCTTCTAGGAACTGGGAGTCACACCTGACCGGGAACTATTAATTAAATGGAGACTTCAGTCCTTGAATTGAAAAAAAAAATTAACCAAACAAAAAAACCCACGAATTCTCCTAACAACAAGAAAGAACATGGTGGCAGATTTTCTCCAATGACAATTCAGCCTGAACAACCTGTAGAGATGGGCCTGTAAGAAACTAAGCAATGAACCCAGGCAAGTGCAGTGACACTTCTGGCCTGTAGAACTAAGAGCTAAAATGTGAAATTTATTTAAGGACTTTAAGGTGGGTCAGAACACAAACAATGATAATTGTAAAAATCATTATAACAAAATCTAATTCAGCTAATATTATGATAGCACAGAATTTCTGATGCTATGAGCCAAGGCATTGTTTTTCCAATTTATTTTAGCAGCATTACTTACTCTTGAGATGAAAATCTGACACATACTCTCCATATCTACAATACATAAAGGCAGCAACACTATGGTTGAATTGAGATAATTCTGCTGGATTATGGCAAACTCAGTTCAATATTAATTTAACACAAATATTAATTTCCTAAAAATACATGTTTTATTTCATATTCTCAATATTTAGCTGATATTCTGTACAGCTTTCTCAAAAGGCCCAGAAAATAAATGTTATAGCAAAAAAATGAAGCAATGTAATAAAGAGATACTGCTTTTGATGGTTAGGAAAGGCCTGGCTGATAAAGTAATGTATAAATTGAAAGCTAAATGTCAAAGAAGCCTGCCAGGCAAATGTGATGAAAGAACATTTCAGGTAATCTTTTGTTAATCACAATAAGATGGCCACTGCAAGTTGTTGTTCCTTAAAATATGTTTGAATATCACTGGCTTAAGCATGAAATAATTATATATAATAATTACAAATATTGTGTCTTCTTCCAGAATCTATCATATTTAAGGTCACAGAATGGTTCGTCATTAAATTGACCTCATGAATACTTGCATGCAATCATTCTCAATGTTTTTCTTGGTTCAGCTAGAAGGGCGCGTAGAGGACAGTTCCCAGCTGGAAGTGAGATTACTGTCAGAGTTAAATTGTCCATGATTCAATATGGAGCATGGGCAAGTAAGGTTACGCTGAGGAACTGTGTGACATAAAATGCTGTGTGACATATAGAAAACGTCAGCAATAGGACCAATCTTATACAAAAAGAGGAGTAACATCTTGCTGAACACACCATAAAAACTTATTTTCCTGTTGCCTCCTGTTCCACTCAGGAAAAAATAAATAGACCATGCTTATCATTGTGAGACTTAATATTTTATTAGTTTTTTAGAAGACTGAGCACTGAGCTCTGTGCCGTTCTTAGTCCTTTCAATCTAGGTAGGACCCATGCCATCTAGAGGGAAAAATGTTTTGCCTATACTAAATTCTGTAATACATTGTGCTCGTGGGGAGGGAAAGTCTAATAGAATTCCCCCTTGGCTCTCCTTTGCAGAGTTTATACTCTGTGGCACTTTGTACAAATGCATATCATAGAACTTTTATCGTAACTACTGACTTATAAAACTGTTCTCCTCCTCAATATGCTTATGCATACTTCCAAGGCAAAGACAATATCTTTTACTGGATTTGTTGCAGAATTCAGGATCGCAATTTAACAATGTGTATCTGTTAAATGAATAAACCTAATTTATGCTGTGATGTTATTCACTAATGAGAGCTCCCCATGTTAACGGTTTTTAAAGCAATGCAGATTGGCCTTAAGTTGGCCCTTGAAAAGTCTTTTTTTTTTTTTTTTTTTTTTTTTTTGAGACGGAGTCTCGCTCTGTCGCCCAGCCGGGACTGCGGACTGCAGTGGCGCAATCTCGGCTCACTGCAAGCTCCGCTTCCCGGGTTCACGCCATTCTCCTGCCTCAGCCTCCCGAGTAGCTGGGACTACAGGCGCCCGCCACCGCGCCCGGCTAATTTTTTTTGTATTTTTAGTAGAGACGGGGTTTCACCTTGTTAGCCAGGATGGTCTCGATCTCCTGACCTCATGATCCACCCGCCTCGGCCTCCCAAAGTGCTGGGATTACAGGCGTGAGCCACTGCGCCCGGCCTGAAAAGTCTTATATACTGTTAGTGGTAATATAAATTATTTCAACCACACTTTGGAGATTTCTCAAAAAAGTTAACATGGAACTACCTTTCAACCCAGCAAGCACATTAATGGGTATCTACCCAAACAAAAATAAATTGTTCTACCAAAAACAAACAAACATATACTCATATTTTCACTGCAGCAGTATTGATAATAGCAAAGACACAGAATCATCTCAGGTGTCCATTAATGGTGGATTGGATAAAGAAAATGTGTTCCACATACACCTATGAATACTACACAGTCATTTAAAAAGGATGAAATCATGTTCTTTGCAGTAACTTAGTAGTAGCTGGAGGTTATTGTCCTAAGAAAATTAATGCAGGAACAGAAAACCAAATACTATGTGTTCTCACTTATAAATGGAAGCTAAATATCGGGTACTCATGAACATAAAGATAGCAACAATAGACACTGAGGACTACAAGACTGTGGAGGCAGGCAGGGGGAAAAGTGTTGAAAAACTAACTGTTGGGGACTATGCTCACTACCTAGGTGATGAGATTATTCACATCCCAAACCTCAGCAACCCTCAATATACCCATGTGACACTCAATATATCCATGCAACACTCAATATACCCATGTAACAAACCTCTGCATGTAGCGCCTGAATCCAAAATAAAAATTGAACTTATTTAAAAAATTTAAAAAGGAATATTTGATAAATGACTCCACTGATATAAGTTTCAATATGAGGCAAAACATGGGTGTTAGGAGTTAGGATTGTAGTTGCTATTGGGGAAATGAGGTAGTAAAAGGAAAGGCAGAACGTCGTCGGGTGCTTTTGAAATGCTGGTTGTGCTCTAGTGCTTGATCTGGATGCTGGTTATATAAGTGTTTTTCCACTGTAAAAAATGTATTGATTTGTAAAATTATAATCTGTATCCTTTTATCTACATATTCTAGACTTAAATAAAAACATCTAAAAAATTTTAAAATAGCTGTCTCTAATACAAGTGCATACACTAAATGAAGATAACAGACAAATATGGTTCATATACATATATACACACACATGTAGTTTCTATTAAGAATGTCTAATAAATGTAGATGAATACTTTATTCTACATATTTATATGAGAAGGATGATAATACAGGTAAGTTTTAATAATCTAGATATAGAAATAAGAAATACTGATCATTTGGTATTTTTTACATGCACATACTCTACACACATAATTATACATATCTGTACACAAATAAACATATCTCTGTGTACTTATGTAACAAGAAGTTCAATATTTCATTGATAATCCCAATGTATGTACACTGAGAAGCATATGAATTATATTTCTTAATGGAGCCTATTTTAATTAATCTCTGATTAAAGTTGGGGTATAAGAGGTAAAGCAATTCAGGGATAAGAATTATTTCAAATATATTTGTTATAATGTAGGTGTAAAAATAATGGAAAATGGTCACAGATTCTTTGTCTTGTTTTTGGGCCAAAGCAAGGCAGATGTCATGTGCCCTCACTGGGAAAGAAAAAAGAGGAAGCTGAATTCTTTCCTTTTCTCCTTCCCTCCCTCCCTCTCTCCCTTTCTTCCTTCCTTCCTCCCATCCTTCCTGCCTCCTCCCTTCCTCCCTCCCTGATTTCCTTCCTTCCTTCCTTCCACCCTCCCTCCCTCCTCCCTTCCTCCCTCCCTGCTTGCCTGCTCTTTCTTTCTTTTTTTCTTTCTTTCTTTCTTTCTCTTTCCTTCCTTCCTTCCTTCCTTCCTTCCTTCCTTCCTTCCTTCCTTCCTTCCTTCCTTCCCTCCTTCCTTCTTTCTCTCTCTCTCTCTTTCTCTCTTTCTTTCTTTCTTTCCTTTCTTTTTGACAGAGTCTCACTCTGTTGCCCAGGCTGGAGTGCAGTGGTGTGACTTCGGCTCACTGCAACCTCCGCCTCCTGGGTTCAAGTGATTCTCCTGCCACAGTCTCCTGAGTAGCTGGGACTACAGGTGCCCACCAACATGCTCAGCTAATTTTTTGTATTTTTAGTAGAGATGGGGTTTCACCATGTTGGCCAGCCTAGTCTCGAACTCCTGACCTCAAGTGATCCACCCACCTTGGCCTCCCAAATTGCAGGGATTACAGGCATGAGCCACCGCGTCTGGCCGATTGCTTTCTAAAGATCATATGTAAATCATAAAGTGAAAAACTGAAATGTTTGCCATCAAAGCATTTTTTTTCTCTGAGTAAATATGTTATTGTGTATTTCTTTCTGTTTTCATTTTCATTTGAAATCTCTTATTTCTATTGTTTGCCAAATGTTAACCTCTCAAAAATGTAGTGCTTATTAATCCCTTAAGCTGAATAATACAATAACACTAATGTCGAGGAAAGTAATACCCATGTCAAAGCTATAGAGGAGCATACAATTAAGAAAGACAGTGTGTATGAGAAATACTATGTGTTCATTGCTTCAAACTTTCTATATTTCAAAATAGGATTAATTAGCTATAGTTTTATTTCCAGTGAGTTCTACATACTGCCATGAATCACTGAGAAAATATATATTGGCGTTGGTAACGTCAATTTTACCTACATGTTGTCATTCTAAAATTCCAGTCACGAATAGCTTGTGTTCATTGAAAACAAAGAGATAAGGGTATCACGTGTAATTTGTACAATTGGATTTTGCTCATAGAACTGTTTTTGATCTCCCAAAATGATACATGCACCTACTAGAAAATGTAGAACATAAAAAAGTGTGAAGAGTGAGAGAGTAGGTGAAGAAGTATCAATACACGAAGTCAAGAAGAAATATTCCATTTCTTTATGTATTAATAAAGCAAAGTCTAGCTGCACAATCCTGGACACTGACTGAAAATTTCACTTCAGGGATTCTTGGGCTTCCCTTACAGTTGCACCACAGGATTGGGGATCTTTCTTAAAATGAAATGGTGGAGGAAATGGTTATGGCAAGTTGTCAGTTGCCCATAAAAATTACCACTGTGATACTCATTTTCCCCATGAAAAGGATTCATTTAGGTCCAGCATGTTGTTACTAGTTCTCTGCAATTATTGAACAAGAGAGTCTTTTCCATGGCTTCTTCTGGCCAGGTTTTACCGAAAGTAGCCATTTTTCTTAGGAGACTCGCCCATCTTTGAAGTGCAGCCAGCTGACCAGTCTTTTGCTAGGTCTGTTCTCTCGGCTCCCTCACTTCCAATCTTCACATGTCTTCTTCAAGTTAGGAAATTCTGTTTCTCTCTTCTTTAGTTTTTTTTCCTTCTTGATCTACTCAACAAACCCAGTTCATTTTTATTCTTCTACAGTAGACATCAAAGACCCATTAGACTCCAAATCCAAATTAACTAAATGTTGTTGGTAGCTTTCTTTCCAGAGGAGGGAAAGAAGACTTGACCTGTAAACATTACTAATTCAAAAAAGAAAAAAAGTGAAATAATTACTTTTCCATATTAAGATGGAAGGATTGTTCAGATCCTGCAATACTCCCTGGTTAGTATGTCCAACAAGAAAAATTTATTTTCATTCCAGTACATGCTGCTTAAGTCACCTCCTGAGGGAGGGACCCGAACTGTGAACACATGGGCTCCCTTAGAATGGTAATAACTCCCACATAAAGCAGCACATATATCTGTCACTAGTATTTCCTCAAGCCTCAGGGATCTTTAATTTTATTCTAGGTTCCAGATGAAGTTTTTGTCTTAAGATTCTGGGATATTGATTCCTTGTAATGATTCTTCTCCCTCCCCATTCTTCCATTTACCAGGGAATTAAAATTTTTGCACAAGCAGAATGAACAATAGTTGTAGAGAAGGTTCTGATCAAGTTATATCAGGATTTGATTTGAGCTCCAAGTTTCGTGTTGTACTGTCTTTACCCTTGGAATCATTTTCTTCTTTCAAACCCTGAGGCACACAAAGTAGAATGATATCCTCAGCTTCTATTTGGCCATAATAGGAAGATTAGCAGTGAGCAGCTGTTATATCCTGTTAAGTTTTCTTCAGGTAGTTGACACTTCTTGTTTCCTCCATATTCTGACTTTCACCTGTTATGTGAGAGAAGAGACATGGTGCCAGTGAAATTTAGGCTCTCATAAAAACTGAAGGGTTCCTCTCTCTGGTCCATCTCTGCTTCTTAAACTCCCAAGTCCTCTAGGTCTTCTGCTCTGATGGTCGTGTGTTCTCTCCAGAAAAATCATCATCAAAGCTTCGTCATAGCTATAAGCAATGTGTTGGCAATTATGACTCTTATTATGAAAGTAATAACTATCCATTGAAGAATATTAAAAGAGTTTTGCTATTATTGAAGTATTTATGTATGTTTATGTATATATGTATATAAATATATACATTTACATAACTCAGGTAAATTCTATAAATTGTTGTATAATTTTGTATTTATGTTATCACTTAACAGTGTATCAGAGGTCACAACAGCATGAATTTAAAATTTAAAAAATTGTTTTGGTTAGCATAGTATTTGAAAAATGGATTATTTCTCTACATTTTAAACATAAGAAGATTCCCCAATGTGTTTTTCCTTGAATAACCATTGGAACTGGCAATACTGGATCTGTATTTGACTCTTGTAGTACTTGGCAATAACAACGTAAAGACAGCAGCCTCTTCTAGTTGAAGCATATGCCTTAAGCTCCCAGTTTACCAAAGTCTCCACTGGCAATTTTTACTCACTTGCTCTACCTGCCTTTCCCATAGGGTTACTTGTATTTGATTCCTGTTATTCACAGGCTTTTATAAAACATTCTGCACTTCATGAAAATAATATGTAATGTACTGCAATGTTCCAAACCACTGTACCTTTCTGTATTTAGAGCAATGGTTCTCAATGGGTGTAATACAGGCTTTTGCCTTGCCATAAGACATCTGGCAATACCTGGAAACATTTTGATTGTACAAATGTGGGATGTGGGGTGGTTAATTATATTAGCATCTGGTGGGTAGAAGACAGGAATGGTGCTGAACATCTCATAAGGCATAGGACAGCCCCTACAACAAGGAAAACTTTAGCTCAAATGTGAATTGAGCTGATGTTGAAAAGCCTTGATTCAGAGGTTGATCACATAGTACATAGTGATTGAACTATTTTAAGTAATAAGGTAAATTCCTATAAAGGACATCAAAGGATATGGGTGGATTTTAAGTAATTGGTGGCCACTGTCAAAAGTTCTCTCCAGAAAGCTTTTTCTAATTGAAACTATTTAAATTTTTGTTTGTTTAATAAGTAGAAGAATCATAAATAAATACAAGATGAAGTATGATAGAATAAGAACGTAAGATAGATAAGAAAAGAAATTCTGGATACAAAACTTGCCTTTATCCACTTCTGAGTACAAGAATGTCTTTAAAGTGGAAACCTTTTTCTGTACCTTTCTTCTAGTGTTGAGGACACACTTCAATAAATATTTAATCACGATAATGGGACATTTTGAGGCTGCCTACTAGAAAAACATCGTAGTAAGCATTTCACGGTTAATTAGCATTCATGGGCATTAACAATGCTGGGGGGCTACGTGTAAGGTGACAAGTTATGATATACTTAAAAAAGTAATTTCAAAATAATGTTAAAAGGCTTCCTTCTTCTTATGCTTTTTTATCTTTTAAAACTTTTTTTTTTCTATTAATGATGAAGTTCTGGATATTCCCAAATTAGATTTAGGAATTAACCAGAAATACAATTCCAAGAATATCAACTTTACACAGATAAAGAAATAGAGTTAGAGAGAGATATTTCATCTTGGTTCATTACTGCAGCCTGAGCTGTGGTATAAAACTGAAATAGAATGAGGTGTATGGCAGTGCGGAGGACGCTGAAGACAGCAACATCCTAGCGCAGGGAGTCAGAGCCAAACAGAGTGAGGAAGGTGTAGGGAAGTGAATGGGTAGGGGCATTGCAAGACATGCTTAAGCCAAAAACAATTTAGGAGGATGGGTCTCGTTGAGGGAGATATGGTTAGAAAAGCATCTATGCAAATGCGACATAATGGTGGTGGTGGTGGCGGGGTGCTGGTGAAGTGTGTCATAGCCCACGTGGAATAAAAAATGTACTCTGCATGGGGGCAGTCATAGCAGCTACCTGGCTAAGAGTCTCAGTTCACTTGTGGGACATTTGTATTTGGTGAGTGGTGATGACAACAGCAATCCAGTGCATTGTATCATTTGTGTGGTAGGGCATGGAATGCTGGAGCTTGAGCTGGTGCAGGGGGGTCACCTGTGGTTGAGAGACTGTCCAAAGTGATGGGAGATTATTTACATATAGGAGGATTAATTAAATAAGTAAATATATTACTTACATAAGTAAATATAAATATTTACATATAGGTGGATTAATTAAATAAGTAAATATACTAGTGAAAATGGAAGCTAATTTTCGACTTTATGGAAGGGACTTGCAAATATGCAAAGGCAGGAAATTCGAATGAGTCATATATAGTGAATCAAAATAGAAAGTATTGGTGTAACTCAAAGTTTTCAGTATATATGGAGAGATACTAAAATTAATTTAGATGTGTATGTGTGAGCCTGTGTTCACTGAGAGAGCTTTAAGAGTAGCAACACCTCAGTACCTGTCTGCAAACCTATTGCCAAGATCTTCGTTTCTAAATTTGATTCTCCACAGAAAGGAATGAAACTATTTTAAAACATGGTACATTCCAGGGCTGGGGTAGAAGATACACATGATGATCCTTGAATATCATGCTGTGCCTAAGAGTAAGAAAGTGCTCAAAAATAATGAATACAGGTGAAAAAAGACCCCAAATCACCTTGAAGTATCCACTGGCAAAACTGGAGGCAATCTCAGATACTATTAAGTAATAGTGGTAACTGATTATAAACCACTGAATACAAAAAGAATCCATGAGTCCATGTTTATAAAACTAAATAAAATAAACTACAGGGTGAAGAGAAAATTTTTTCTTACACTAAAATGCTAATCTAATTATCTAGAAAGATTAATCTAGATGATCACAATTCCACATCTATCAAGCAGGAATTAATTTAGCCAACTAATATCCATAGATGCTAAAATAAGTGTGTGAAAGTTTGATAGGGAATTGGATATTTACATAGTCACAAACAACCTTCATATAAAAGACTTATTAATTATAATAGTGAAAAGAGTAATTTTTCAAAAGAAAAACATAAAGGTTTCTCGATAAAATAATCAAAGTTAATATGGGACAAACCACATGGGATTTGGGACAAATCAAAATTGTGTCACATGAGAGAATCCAATTAGTAGAACAGCATCGCTTCTGTGATATTTCTGCCAAAGAGTCTAATCTGAATCACATCATGAAAAAAACATTAAATGAAACAAATTAGGAAAATTCTACAAAGTAATTGATCTATAATATTAAAACTAATTGGCTGGGCACAGTGGCTCCTGCCTGTAATCCCAGCATTTTGGGAGGCCGAGGTGGGCAAATCACCTGAGGTCAGGAGTTCAAGACCAGCTTGACCAACATGGAGAAACCCCATCTCAATTTAAAATACAAAATTAGCCAGGTGTAGTGGTGCATGCCTGTAATCCCAGCTACTCTGGAGACTGAGGCAGGAGAATCACTTGAAACTGGGAGGCAGAGGTGGCGGTGAGCAGAGATCACACCATTGCACTCCAGCCTGGGCAACAAGAGGAAAACTGTCTCAAAATAAACAAAACAAAACAAAACAAAACAAAAACTAATTTTGGTCCTGACAGTCAAAGTTAGATCACGATGTTCTAGACTGAAAAAGACCAAGAGGACATGACAAGCAAACATGACATATTTTGGAACAGATATTTTGTCCAGTTGCTCAGGACAAATAATTATTTGTGTTATTCTTGCAAATTTCTTTAATTTTGAAATAATTTGAAAATATTAAAACACTTTTAAAATAAAATGTAAATTTCTTCAGTGTATCATGCTAAGGAAAGAAATGTGACTGATAGAAAATATTACTATGTTTTTAAGTAAACTGAATGAAAGTTGTTTTATTCAAATGCTGCAGGTTGCCTACTTTGCAACAAAATATATTCCTTGTTTTAAAGTATATGTTAATAGACACTGAAAAGCAAGAGTTGTACAATGTTTCTTTCAGGGGAAGACAATATTAAACTAGTTAAAAGTGATTAAACTTAATAAGGTACATCATTATAAAGAGTAGTATATGCTAGTCATAGACTTTGAAATACTAGACTCTGAAATATAGACTTCAAAATAGTAATCACAATATTTGTGATTATTGATTCTTTATCAATAGGTGAATAAAATAGAGGATATAAACACAAATCATATTTCATAGCTTCAAGACAAAAGCAGGATAGACTCTCATCCAAAATTTTGTTTTGATTTTGAGACTAAAGTGGTAATAGAATGAAAAGCAGCAGCTCTCCCCTGAGCTTCATTATGTATTGTGGTAACAATGCCTCCTATAAAGTATATGAGCCCCCATTGTTGTCAACTCAGTTGATCTCAAAGGGCTTCCCAAGTAACCAATGGGTTTGCAAGAGGCACAACCTTATTTAGCACTGTGGTACCTGGCAAGAGACTGGAGACAGGGGAGACCTCCTCCTCCTGCAGGTGGGATATTCCGGAGGTCCCAACTTTGGCTGTAAATTGCAGCAAGGAATTCTCAGTTTTGCTGAGTCTATGGGGTGCTGCTTCTATTACCCAAAATATAACTTAGGTACAGTGTCACAAGCTTATGGCCTATGAGACTTTCTGATTACAGGAGAGTCTAGTTATGTGTTCAGCAATTGCTGTTTTAATGATGAGGAGGGCAGTTCTTGTACCAGAAACCCATGGGCAACATATGGCCATCTTGAATGGTCCAGAGATTCCAGGAACCATGAAAAGATACTGCTAAAGCATTGATGGAATGCCTACTGTATTGCAATTTGGACACATTCCAGAGCTTTTTATTAGAAGGGGGCCCATTCAAAGTGGGTCAATTTGCAGTAGCATTTTAAATAGGCTTAACCCAAATTGTAAATAAGGAATAAGCTGTCTCCCAAACCAGAAAGAACCTAAAATAAATTATGAGTGCTGAGAGAGTCAATAGTCAATTGTCAATACCCGACAGGTTTCTTGGCAATGTCAGGGATGAAGCAACCCTCAGCTTCCCTAAAATAACTTACAGAAATTTAACTGAGATGGTGAGGCTTTGCATTATGTGTAGGACAATGGTTTATCCTTTTTTTTGTGAGCTTCTTTGTCAGTATTTTTATGTCCTGAATGAGTGTGTCAAATGAATGTCTTCAGAGGATGATATTATTAATGAAATGCCATATCTGTGCACCTAGAGGAAGTTGTATGCAGTTAGGACCAGACAGATTCAAAGCCGAATTCTACCAGAGGTACAAGGAGGAGCTGGTACCATTCCTCCTGAAACTATTCCAATCAATAGAAAAAGAGAGAATCCTCACTAACTCATTTTATGAGGCCACCATCATCCTGATACCAAAGCCGCGCAGAGACATGACCAAAAAAGAGAATTTTAGACCAATATCCTTAATGAACATTGATGCAAAAATCCTCAATAAAATACTGGCAAACTAAATCCAGCAGCACATCAAAAAGCTTATCCACCATGATCAAGTGGGCTTCATCCCTGGGATGCAAGGCTGGTTCAATATATGCAAATCAATAAATGTAATCCAGCATCTAAACAGAACCAAAGACAAAAACCACATGATTATCTCAATAGATGCAGAAAAGGCATTTGACAAAATTCAAAAACACTTCATGCTAAAAACTCTCAATAAATTAGGTATTGATGAGACGTATCTCAAAATAATAAGAGCTATCTATGACAAACCCACAGCCAATATCATACTGAATGGGAAAAAACTGGAAGCATTCCCTTTGAAGAGTGGCACAAGACAGGGATGCCCTCTCTCACCACTCCTATTCAACATAGTGTTGGAAGTTCTGGCCAGCGCAATCAGGCAGGAGAAGGAAATAAAGGGTATTCAATTAGGAAAAGAGGAAGTCAAATTGTCTCTGTTTGCAGATGACATGATTGTATATCTAGAAAACTCCATTGTCTCAGCCCAAAATCTCCTTAAGCTGATAAGCAACTTCAGCAAAGTCTCAGGATACAAAATCAATGTACAAAAATCACAAGCATTCGTATACACCAATAACAGACAAACAGAGAGCCAAATCATGAGTGAACTCCCATTCACAATTGCTTCAAACAGAATAAAATACCTAGGAATCCAACTCACAAGGGATGTGAAGGACCTCTTCAAGGAGAAATACAAACCACTGCTCAATGAAATAAAAGAGCATAGAAACAAATGGAAGAACATTCCATGCTCATGGGTAGGAAGAATCAATATCGTGAAAATGGCCATACTGCCCAAGGTAATTTATAGATTCAATGCCATCCCCACCAAGCTACCAATGACTTTCTTCACAGAATTGGAAAATACTACTTTAAAGTTCATATGGAACCAAAAAAGAGCCCGCATCGCCAAGTCAATCCTAAGCCAAAAGAACAAAGCTGGAGGCATCACGCTACCTGACTTCAAACTATACTACGAGGCTACAGTAACCAAAACAGCATGGTACTGGTACCAAAACAGAGATATAGATCAACGGAACAGAACAGAGCTCTCAGAAATAACGCCACATATCTACAACTATCTGATCTTTGACAAACCTGAGAAAAACAAGCAATGGGGAAAAGATTCCCTATTTCATAAATAGTGCCAGGAAAACTGGCTAGCCATATGTAGAAAGCTGAAACTGGATCCCTTCCTTACACCTTATACAAAAATTAATTCAAGATGGATTAAAGACTTAAACATTAGACCTAAAACCATAAAAACCCTAGAAGAAAACCTAGGCATTACCATTCAGGACATAGGCATGGGCAAGGACTTCCTGTCTAAAACACCAAAAGCAATGGCAACAAAAGCCAAAATTGACAAATGGGATCTAATTAAACTAAAGAGCTTCTGCACAGCAAAAGAAACTACCATCAGAGTGAACAGGCAACCTACAAAATGGGAGAACATTTTCGCAACCTACTCATCTGACAAAGGGCTAATATCCAGAATCTATAATGAACTCAAACAAATTTACAAGAAAAAAACAAACAACCCCATCAAAAAGTGGGCGAAGGACATGAACAGACACTTCTCAAAAGAAGACATTTATGCAGCCAAAAAACACATGAAAAAATGCTCACCATCACTGGCCATCAGAGAAATGCAAATCAAAACCACAATGAGATACCATCTCACACCAGTTAGAATGGCAATCATTAAAAAGTCAGGAAACAACAGGTGCTGGAGAGGATGTGGAGAAATAGGAACACTTTTACACTGTTGGTGAGACTGTAAACTAGTTCAGCTATTGTGGAAGTCAGTGTGGCCATTCCTCAGGGATCTAGAACTAGAAACACCATTTGACCCAGCCATCCCATTACTGGGTATATACCCAAAGGACTATAAATCATGCTGCTATAAAGACACATGCACACATATGTTTATTGCGGCACTATTCACAATATAAAAGACTTGGAACCAACCCAAATGTCCAACAATGATAGACTGGATTAAGAAAATGTGGCACATATACACCATGGAATACTATGCAGCCATAAAAAAGGATGAGTTCATGTCTTCTGTAGGGACATGGATGAAATTGGAAATCATCATTCTCAGTAAACTATCGCAAGGACAAAAAACCAAACACCGCATGTTCTCACTCATAGGTGGGAATTGAACAATGAGAACACATGGACACAGGAAGGGGAACATCACACTCTGGGGACTGTTGTGGGGTGGGGGAATGGGCGAGGGATAGCATTAGGAAATATATCTAATGCTAAATGATGAGTTAATGGATGCAGCACACCAGCATGGCACATGTATACATATGTAACTAACCTGCACATTGTGCACATGTACCCTAAAAGTATAATAATAATCATAATTTTAAAAAAAAGTAAAGAATTCAAGGGACATTTCACAATTTATCAAGATATGATTGCTAGCTTAAAAAAAGGATGAACTTAAAAAACCTATAGTATGAGAACATGTAGTAAGATAAAATAAAGATGGAAGTTAAATTTTTACATGTATTTTCATCATACATATTTTATTTAAAAAGCACTTTTAAGGTAAATGTTTGCATACTAAATTCTTTTTCCATTGGATTCTATAATAAAATTTGAAATAAATTCCTATGATATAATAAATATTGAGAAGAAATGAACCAACATTTGAAAACTGCATTTATACTGAAGAATATATTTTTGATAAAGCAGTAATAATTATTCTGTAATTTGTCATAAAATGAGACTGTTATGTAGAAAGGATTATGTTAGTACTTGCCAAAGTAACGCAGTTCAAAAAAGGAAAATGTCAGCTTAATAAAACTGCCACTTAGGATCTACCGAAAAAAAAAAAAAGTCTTATACAAAGACAGTGTGCAGTGGCAAGGCTGTTGATGCATTCTGTGAGTCATGTGGTATATGTATGTATATTTTGTTCTTTAGCAGATGAAGGCAAACCAACTGTAAGACTTTTTTAATATGTTAGCCAAATCGACAATAGCACAATATGGAACTGGTAATTTCAATAATACTGGATATGAAGGCCTCAAAGTGTAGAATCACCATATTAATGTTGCTAAAATGCACCACCTGATCACTGTTACGGCCTTAATCAATACCGGGGCTTAGATTACATTCCACTCAATTTTCCTGTGGTTAGAAATTTTATTACTGCTTTCACAAATTATAAGTATGAAACTGAAAGGTTTTTTTTTAAACCTAAGCATATTCAAAAAACTAAAGTGCTAATTTGAATCTCCTTTCATTTACTGACTCAAAATGTGATTTTGCTGTCAAAGCCGATGACACCACACACATCGTATGAGGGGAAAAAGGTTTATTACTTATGCAGTTGAGGGGTTCTGAGGAGAATAAAGTAAGCTTTCAAAGATGCCTCCAAAACGGACTTGAGAGATCAGGGAAAGAGGATTGGCTTAGGACTTTCATTTTGGTTAGGGGTTGTAGCTGCTGTGAGGAATCTGTATTCTGGGATCCAAAGGACTGTCCTCATTCTTTATGATCTCTATGATACTTATTCCAAACAATGATATTTCTCCACATTTAATTTTTTAAAGAAGTTTGTGTGTCTTCTGTAATCGCTGGTGTTAGCTCCATTTGACAAAAGCAGTACCTACAAATCTCTTGTAGAGAAGACAGTCCTCTGTTTTGGGGGTTCTGTTGAAAGAGCCCAGGGACAATGTCTTTAAGATTTCTGTTCAGTTGTTTAAGGAGATCTTGGAAGCACAGCTCTGATGTCTTAAAGGGCCTTCTGTATGACTGAATATACTGAGGTTTTAATAAAATGTTTTATAGACACACCCTTGGCTTCACCTTTTGACTAAGTTTTCCAAGAAGTGCACTGGATTTTATGTTTTCTTGAAAGTTATTTCTTAATTTTAGTATTTCTGGTCATCTGGAAGGGCTGAGGATTTATGACAACATCAAATCTTGGCTTCCTTTTGCTTAACAGTGTTTTTCATTTATCTCTCTCTTCTTGAATTTTACTGTACTGGCTAGAAGAAACAAGATGACACCTCCAATACTTTCCTTAGAAATCTCTCAGCTGCATCACCCCACTCATTACGCATATTCTTTACTTTTTGTGGGACTATAGGTGAAATGTTACTGAATTTCTGTCGTTAAATAAGAACCACATAGTCTTCACTTCCTTCTGAGCTTTGCCTTGTCTTTCCTCTCTGGATGCCAGATTTTTTATTAATTTATTTAAGTTCAACCAATTGGAGCATATTCAGCGATACCTGAGAGAGACGTAAATTTAACTTGTTTCATGGCTATTTATATACAAAAACACAGTGCAAAAGCTAAGGAATTCTAAGTCAGATGGAGTTAACCATGGATTAATTACTAGAGAAGGGGAAGGCTGGTAGATTTGATTTGTGTGCTCTGTGAAGATAAAAAAGTGGAAGTCTTGAGATTTTATTCGTAGTGCTTAAATGAGTGAATAATGTATATCATATAAGTTAAAATTGATTGAAAGAACAACTCATATAAAGCTTTTATCTGAATAAGTAAGAACTGTGTTTATATGGTTCATTTTCACAGGTATGTATCATTTTGTGATATATAATAAGGTGTTGTGTTGAAAATTCAATTATGACATCTAAACAGCTTCTTTGGGAAAGTCTGTGATGGTATCCTTTTATTTGAGAAATTCTAATGATTAACTAAATGGCGTACGTAATCCATACTATATGTAACAGTTTTACAAAAGTAAAGTTATTTCCACTGATTTCTCTGAGAAAGATTGTTGGCCCAAATTGTCAGCACTATAAATCCTCATTCACTCATTAAAGGGGTGAGCTATTGGAATTGTCTCCTAGCTTAAACTGTCGAGCAGAACAACAAACAAATACAACATGGGAGTGGACGAGATTGCAGATGATCATACTATTCAGAAAACATAAGGCATGTTACCTATCTTACTCTTAGAATATTTAGAATATCTATTTCTAGAACTGCATGGGCCTAATATACTTGGGTTGAAACTTGGCTTGAAGTGTATTCTATAGATCATTATGGCTCTGTTGGATACATATTTTTTATGCCAACAAATTGTGTAGAAAATAATCTTTCCTCAAATCCGTTAAATTTTTCCATCTCTGGTTTCAACCCTCTTATTTTTTGTGGACAGTCACAAAATTCTCTTTTAATTCCTTTTGGACAATTTCCAATAGCTCTTCCAATACATTTTCTCCTTCATTTGCTCTCAGCTCAACACAATATGCCTTAGAGTCCCTAATGGCTTTAGTGTTCACAGGAAGTCTTTATTTTCTCTCCCAGTCTTGACAACAATTTATTTTAGCACCTTGATCCTTCAATTTTTTCTCAGAGTTATTTTCAACTGGATTATTTTTCCTGTCTTATATAGTCTTCTTTATAAAGGCAAGTTGTGGAGCTGAGCCCTTTATTTGAAAGACTAGAGTAAAAGAAGTCTACTTGTTTCCATAGCCCCATTTATTGTACTGTAATTAACTAAGGAAACATGAAATCAGATCTAGATTTAAACATACAAGAAGATAAATTCTAATTTTTGAAGGGTGTTTTATCCCATCTCTTTGAAATTAAGAGACTCAAACATGACTCACAATCCTAATCAGGAAACTGACATTTTAGTAAATTCCTATGATTACATAATAGACAGCATTTTCTACTTTATATTATTCTCTTCAGTACTGCTTCTGTAAATGGAATGTTATTCTAGGGAAACACCAGTAATGGATGTAGAAAATGTTATTTATTTATTTTGATGTGAAACCTTTGTTATCATAAATGTAGCTAGGGAGACTGTGGATTTTAAGTGGAACAATGAATTTATCATTATAGTACTGAAAAGGACTTAGTAGGCAGATAATCTGATTTATCATCTTATTTTATAAATAAGGAAGCGTAATTCACTGAGGTAAATTGACTGGGAAAAGACTACACCATTATTGACCAACACAGTAGAGTCCTTAACCCTCTGTTGATTTTTCCTCCAGGGCTCTTCGCTATGAACTTTTTGCTGAAATCCTACTCAGCTCTGTAAAGTGGGTTCTTACGGCAGTTTATCTGTGTTTCAGTGATCTGAAAATCTTAACTGTTCTGTTTATGTAGAGCAAGGATGGAAATGTGGAAAATTGCAGGAGCATCTGGCTCTTTATATCTATCACAATATCAAAGCGACTTTTTGGTCAACTGTTATCTCAATAGAAATGAGACTCCTTTTAAGTTACCTCAAGGAATATTTGGAATAGCTCCCCTTTCACACTGCTACTGAAAAGATGGTCCTTAGCATGGCACTTCTCTGTGAACTATGTATCACTGGACCATGTAAGACAAGTAAATAAATTGAGAAAATATATATAGAAAATTTATAATAAGCTCTCATTGCTGCAACTTCCATGTGTGTTTTTAGAGGATTCTTCTTGTAGAACAGACTACGGAATAATTCCTTGTTGTCACCTGGTGAGGGATATGTGACGTGAGCTGTGTGCTAGTCATGAGTCAGAGGACCAATTCTGGTTCACAAAAGAAATGATCTTTTTATTTTATTTTTTTTTTAAAAAAGGTCCTTTACTGTACATTTTGAGCGGCACAGCTCTAGAGAATTGAAAATTCAGGGGTTGGCAGCTTCTGTTGACACAGGCTGCTTAAATATTTGGTAGGTTTCGATTTTCCATTGCCTTATCCTCTTCAGGTAGCTTCTGTAATTATAAAAATGATTGCCTAAAGACAAAAAGTTCTAGTAACTATGGTCTTAGTTAACCTATGAGTTAACCTATGAGCAGAAGTTACTTACTATTAATGGATATATTGGGTGAGAGGCTAGAAAACTGTAACAAAACACAAGAAGCTTGTTTTGATTTTCTTTCTGAATGGATTGAAGTAAATGGGAAAACAGTGCATTTGCCTACTAATTCCTGGGGGAAAACATGTTCTTTGAATGAGAGCGAAGACATATGAAGTATTCAGTTTCCTAGCAATGTGTTAAAAGGATTGGGGAGAAGGAGTCAGAAGGGATTTTCCTCATTGACAACATAAAAAATATTTTGAGATGACCCAGGAAATCAGGGGACTTGAAATATGCAAGTGACCTCTCATCCGTCTCTGAGAATGTGTGGAGCTACACGATTTTGTTGGAGTTCAAAACATACTCTTGAAAATTATAAAAACAAATGAATCAAATACCTGACCAGTACCAAATAAATATTCCACAATTTCTGTAGGACTCAGTAAGGTGAAGAAAAGTGATGAAAAATATCAGTTGGAGCTGAAAGAGCTGAAAAATAATCTACTTGAGCAGCAAGCGCTTTTAAGGGGATTGTTAGAGCTGTTTGATCTCATCATATAAACTCTAGGAATGAGTCCTCAGAATGAAACCTTTAGGGTAAGAATGTAAGAAAGGATACTAGACAGATGTACTTAATGTTATCTAGGCTATGTAAGAAGAAATTTTACATTATTATTACATTATTTACATTGTTTTTCTATAATACTTTTTATTTGTATACCACTTTATAGTCTGAAAGAATGTTCACTTTATTTTTTCATTTCATACATATGACATGTAAATAATATAGCTTTTATTTTCCTTTCATAGGAGAGGATATTGGAGTATCAATGTGAATTAAAAAGCAGGACTCCACATACAGATTTTTTTGTTGTTTTATTCCATCATAATCCCTAAAAGGACATAGAATATGTTGTATAATTTTCTCACCCTCCTTTCCTCCTTCAAAATTTAAGACACAAGGTAGGTGGCAGGGAATGACAGAAGTTTTACTTCAAAAATATGTAGACTAACTTTGTTACTTTTTGCATTCTTATATTTTTTGTCAAGATGTCCTGCTTTTGGTCATAGACCATTCCATCTAAAGATATTCTAAATATATTTAGTCAATCTGAAGATGTTCAGTCAATCAGAGAACTGTCACAGATCAAATTACATTTCAAGTTTCACATTTTAGCTTGTTGCTATTGTTTTCATGTCTTTATTTCACAACTTGAAAAGTGATAACATGAAGAAGTCCAAGGAGGTTTCAAAAATGTCTGAAAAATCAAGTAAATGTTATTTTGAAAATATTTATTTAGGAATTTATCAGAAAATATGCACAGGAATAAAATCCAGCATTTTTACCAGATTAAAGAATAAGATAGATATAATAACTGTTTTTGCTAAATGGTTAATTGGGAAGACACAAAAGTTGTATAGCAGAACTTAGAAATAGTACATTATAAAAAATTGTAAAACTTCTCTGGCTTATTTTCTGCCTTGGCAGAATGACTGTATCTGGAAATAAGTAATGACTGTGTCTAAAATGTAAGTAGGCTGAGTGCAGTGGCACACATCTTTAATCCCAGCACTTTGGAAGGCTGAGGGAGGAGTATTGCTTGAAGACAGGAGTTCAAGACCAGCCTGGGCAATATAGCAAGACCCTGTCTTGACAAAAAAAAAAATTAAAAATTAGCCAGGCATGGTGGCACACACCTGTAGTCTGTTACTTGGGAGGCTGGGGTAGAAAACTCACTTGAGCCCAGGAATTTAGAGTTGCAGTGAGCTACAATCATGCCACTGCATTCTAGCCTGGGTGGCAGAACAAAACCCTGTCCACCCTCCCAAAAATGTATACAGGTACCTGCACTCACATGTTTATTGCAGCACTATACACAACAGCCAAAATACAAAATCAACCTAAGTGCCCATCAATGGATAAACAAATAAAGAAAATGTAGCATATATTCACAATGGAGTACTATATTCAGCTATAAAAATGAAGGAAATCCTGTCTTTTGCAGCAATTTGTATGGATATGGATGCCATTATGTTAAGTGAAATAAGCCACAGAAAAACAAACATCACATGTTCTCAGTCACATGTGGGGGCTAAAAAAGTCAATCTCATGGAGCTAGAAGGTAGATAGTTAACAGAGGCTAGGAAAGGGGAGGGAAGACAAAGACAGGTTGATTAATGGGTGCAAACACACAATTAGATATAAGGGATATGTTCTAGTGTTCGATAGCACAGTAAAGTAACTATAGTTAACAAAAATTTATTGTATACTTTTTAAATAGCTAAAGATTTTAAATGTTCCCAACACAACCCTTATTTAATCATTACACACTATATGCATGTATCAAAATATTACATATACCCCATAAATATGTACATGTATTATGCATCAATACAACATTTAAAATGTAACCCTGAAGCATGCATAATTTGATTGAATTAAATAAAATCTAAATAGCTGTTTTGAAATTCTATATATGAATTTTCGCTTTAGTTCAGCTATCACATGATTGTGTTTTTTATTGTCACTAATTTTATTAAATTTTCTCAATATTGTGGTTACCACTAATAATTCTCTTTGCCTAATAAACACATTACCTCAATGTCCTTCTTTCTTTTCAAGCTATAAAAATTTGTCAGGCTGCTTTGAAACCAACACTTCCAACGTGCTAGCTATCCACAGCTATAAAAATCTATTGCATATTTTATGGCTAATACATCAACTCTCAGAATAAATTTCCAACAGCGTAAGATAAATTGTGGGGAACTTCATGTATTAAAGTTTGGGAACATCTTTCCTCTATGAGGCAGAGAAAATGGATTCAGATTTTTGTCCTCATCCCTTCCATGTGGAAAGTCTACTTTAAACACATTCTGTAATTCCCAAGGAATGTTTCTGAAGTCTTTCTCTACAGAGACTTGCTTGTGACTATGACCATATATACTACATCAAGTCAGGAACCAAACTCTGGAGTGTGGAAAAGAAAAAAGAGAAAAAAAATGGTAGATTAATAAGAAATTAAGGATAAAGAAGAGTAGGCATAAATCTTAAGAGTGTTAGGAGGTGGGACGATGTGGAAGAGTTACTAGACAATTTCTGCCTTCCATTTGGAAGTCCAAATTCATTCTTCCTACAGCACATATTGATAGTCTATTCCATGATAAATATTGCAGTAGATAACAGAGGTCCATATTTAATGCATGCTTTTACATCCAATCAGCCACTTTCATTCATCCCTATTATTTCTTTTTGTCTAATTCCTCACCACCTTTTGCCTAGATCATTTTAATTTCCTTTTTTATTCTCTAACATTCTTCCATTTTACTCTTCCCTCCATGTAAATTTTTCTCAAGGACAAATATCAGACTTAGAAATATCACCTAAATATTTGATGTACACGTTTTTATAAGATCACGGTCACACTCACCAGTACCGCATCTGAGGGCCTTTAAAATCCTACGTTTTTCTCTAAACCTCTGCAGCTTTATTTTCTGGCATTGTCCTACTGCTGCTTTCATGTACAGGTAATAGGTAGCTTAGCATCAGTGTCTCAGGTGAAGCATACACGTCCTTTTTCTGTCTTCATAACATTGATTATATTGCTCCCTTTACCTGAAGCAATTCTTTTCTATTGGGCTTTAGTCACTCACAAAATTTCTAGTTATTTCAAATAAAACAATATGTCATCTTTTTCGCGAGTCTCTCCTGCCTTCTTTAAATAGACTTGCTTTATTTTATGGACTCCATAGTAATTGTACGTATCTCCACATAGCACAACACATGATATTGCAGTTATACTACTTGACTACTGTGAATGCCTCTAGGTTGGAAACTCTTTATTTTCTTTTATATTGCATGTATCGAACCTAGTCTATATTCGATGCCTAATGAATATGAAATAAATTAATTAACATTCCTTAAAATAGTAGCTGTAGCTTTTGTGTCTGCATATGTCAGCATCCCAGAAGCAAGAAAATGTACTATTTCTTACAGTTCTGAAAAAGTAAGTACAATCAACCCTTGAAGAACAGGGTTTGAACTGTACAAGCTCACTTACACACAAATTTTCTTTTGCTTCTGCCCCCTGACCCCAGAGAGCAAAACCAACCCCTTCTCTTCCGCCTCCTCCTCAGCCTAATCCACTTGAAGATAATGGGGAGGAAGACATTTATTATTATTCATTCCACTTAATTAACAGTAAATATATTTTCTCTTTATTTTGATTTTCATAACAATTCATTTTCTATAGTTTAAGAATGCAGTATATGATGCACATAACATCTAAAGTAAGTGTTTATCAACTGTGTCTTATTGATACTGCTTCTGATGAACAGTGGGTTATATTGATAGTTAAGATTTGAGGGAGTCAGAAGTTGTTATACATGGATTTTCTACTGTGCAGGAGTTGGCACCACTAACAACCATATTGTTCAAGCACCAACTTTAGTTGAGTTTAATATATAATATACAGCTCTCATTCTATGTAGAGAGAAAAAAACAAAGCAGGTAAATCTTTTTACATGGCTTACCACACACACACACACACACACACACACACACACACACACAAGAAGTAACATTTGGAGAAGGTAATCTCCTCTGGTTAAACTTTATCAATCCTAAGGTCTTGGAAGGTGAGATGATGAAGTGTCTGTCTTGGGGAGACGAGTTAACCCCTAACAATCTTCATCAACTCTTCCCTCAGATAGCCTTTTGTGTTGCCCTTATAATATTTTGTCACTGACAGGAAAGCAACTGGGCTATTGCTAGTGATTTCCCTGGTGAAGAAGCGTGCAGTAATTGTTCCAAAGCACCAGGGGCCAAAGTCAAGAGCAGAGCATAACAGTTTTCCTTCAATCCATTATCTCTCTGTTCCCTCCAGTTTCCATCTGCTCCACGTGGCAGGTACCACCAAGCAACCCTCACCCACTCAACACACACCAGTTTCAAGATAGACTTCAATCTGTTCAATCTGTTAGTTCTAGAATATATAATTCTGTTTCACTTCTCTAATTTTTGCAGGGATATGTTCACTGTAGGGAGACAACAGCCCATGATAGATTGTCAGTCTTGTAAGCAACAAGCCGAAATGTTAACAGAGGTAATGTGTTTGTGGAAGAATCTTAAGGAAGTTCATATATTTAATTTTCAACAGGTTTGGTATAAGGACAAATCATTATTTTGCCTTTTCATATTGTGACATAATTTAAGAAATATGGAATTTATTATTTCCTTTTGTCTATAAACTGAGGCCCAAAGGAATAACATTGCTTGACAATGGTAATAGAACTTGTTAATCGCAGAACTTGATTTTACTTTTTTCTAGCTGGTTAAGAACAGTTTCCACTGGACCACATTGTTTTCATTGGAGGAATATAGATTTCTATAAGGGGTAATTTAACTCAGGTGGATAGGTGATGTGAATTAAACAAAATGGAGGTATTAGTATCCTTAGACAAATAAACCCTATGTGATAAAGATCAGGATAATTTTGGCTGTCTTGAACCACACTTTAATGAATTCTTCAGGCTGAGAGGGACCTCTACATTTCAATCATTTCAAGTACATAAGGTTATTTACATTGTTAAACTTGTTTCTTAGTAAAGTGAGAACAATGTACAATTAAAGCCCTTCAAACTATTGTGATAAAAACAGCTTTGTTTCTGCAAATTTTTTTAAAAGTGATAATATCATCTGATGATGATGTGACTAGGCATATGATCTCTAATATAATTATCATCTGATTTTGGTTTGATTGTGCTTGATAGGTTTCATGGTGGGGTGAAGAACAACTAGAACTTCCAAACTAGGTTATTCCTGTCCATCCTACCATTTGTTTGTTTTTATGGTGAGGGTAATGGGAAATAACTAGTTTTTTTAGGTTCATAGACCTCCAGTTTTTGGTTCACTGAAACTGATTATGTTTTATATAAATTACTGTGGAAGATGATTCTTTGATAGGTGATTGCAATCAGGAGAATGATATATAATTTTGATTAATCAAGAAAGGTTGATTAATTTTAGCATTGATTGTGGCATAATCCCACACTAGAATGAAATGCTGTTTACTGTCATTTGGGATGAGTAATATTCTGCAGTGAACTGAGCACTTGTTTAAGTACTCCAAATTTCATATGAAGTTATCTAACATTTTGTTATTTCTATTGGTGAGTATAAATAAGTTTTTAGTGTTTTCAAAAGTCTGAATCCCCAAAAGCATTATAATGTATAAAATCACACAAACAAAAATATCTTCCAAAACATATTATTAAGACTATTCTGTTTTTTTCTTCCATCAAAACCTCCACAATAATATCTCCAAAGTGTTATTCACTTGTTATTGATGTCAGATTTTCAGTCTATGAAGTTTAATTAATCCATTACTTTTTACATAAAATTGGAATGTATTCCGTATTTTACTGATGTTCATATGTGACCTTTATCTTGTGAGGTTTACAAGTCAGATATTGTTAACCATAACCATTAAAAATTGACAAATCAACTTAGCTTTTGGTCGTCCCTCATTTTTGCTAGATGATTCTTTTCTCAAATTTGGGACATAACCAGTGTCACTCACCACTGTAACTGCTTCAGATTCCTTTAAATTTTTTATTTTTTCTGCCATCAGATTCTTAATTGATGACTGAATCTCTTACTTTATTAAAAGGAGTTACACATTGGATCATCCCAAAGCCAGTTCCTTTTCATTTATCAGGTCAGAATTGAAATACCTTCCACAAAGTGATGCACTCTATCATTATTTAAGTAAATCAGTGTTCTTCCTTTTCAATTATCAAGACCATAGCACCCTGCTATTTCATTGTTCTACCACTTATTTTTCATAATTAGCACTTTTATTAAGTTTTTATTTGTTTACATTTGTCTTCTAGAAATAAATATAAACTCTATGAGACAATAAAACTTTCTCTCCTGTTCATTGCTGTATTCCCAGTGTCAAGGACAAGGTTTGATATACGATGGAGGTTAAAAAAGAAATGTTGAATGTATAAATGAATTAATGTTCTAATGCTCCTTTAGTGACCCTCAATTTTATTTAATGATTCTATTAAGGTTTATTTGTTTTTACTTTTACTAGTATCTGAAGATTTGCTCAATCAAATCTTCAGTGTCCTGTACACTTCCAATCCAAATCTCCTGAAGATAATGCTCTGTTTGTTTGTTTCTTTGAGACTGAGTCTCGCTCTGTCACCCAGGCTGGAATGCAATGGTGCGATCTTGTCTCACTGCAACCTCCGCCTCCCGGATTGAAGCGATTCTCCCTGCCTCAGCCTCCCAAGTAGCTGGGATTACAGGCGCCTGCCACCATGCCCGGCTAATTTTTTCTATTTTTAGTGGAGATGGGGTTTCACCATGTTGGCCAGGCTGGTCTCAAACTCCTGACCTCAGGTGATCTGCCTGCCTAGGCATCCCAAAGTGTTGGGATTACAGGCGTGAGCCACAATGCCCGGCCAAAGATAATGTTCTTCATATGTATGTTTCCTTTTTTTAATACTCTTAAAGCTCTCTCAACTTTTGAAACAGTTAATAATGTAAGCCCTGGAGTTAGGTTGCTTGGTATTGTATCTACTACTCCACCACTTACCAGTTGGCGCACTTGGACAAATTCCTTGAGTCTCCTACACCTCAGTTTCTCATCATCTGTGTTGATGTTAACAATACCACCTTTATAGATTTATTCTGAATATTAAATGAATTCAGACATTATGGTGCTTCAAACAACACATTCCTCTCACATTAATGTGAGCATTTTTATTATATGAAAATAATTCTTTATTTTTAAAAAATATTCTCCAGAGAGAGTAAAAGAGATGGAAAAGGTGAGACAGAATTGGGTAAAGTAGTTAAGTAATTTCCTAAACCTTCCTATTAGTGTTTTTCCGTCACCTACCTGCATTCCTCTCTTTAGGATACATGAAATATCACTGTATAATCATAGTATTTAATTTGTATTATTTGCTAGAGTAGTGCTGATTTTTTTTTTTAATTATACTTTAAGTTTTAGGGTACATGTGCACATTGTGCAGGTTAGTTACATAGGTATACATGTGCCGTGCTGGTGCGCTGCACCCACTAACTCGTCATCTAGCATTAGGTATATCTCCCAATGCTACCCCTCCCCCCTCCCCCCACCCCACCACAGTCCCCAGAGTGTGATATTACCCTTCCTGTGTCCATGTGATCTCATTGTTCAGTTCCCACCTATGAGTGAGAATATGCGGTGTTTGGTTTTTTGTTCTTGCAATAGTTTACTGAGAATGATGATTTCCAATTTCATCCATGTCCCTACAAAGGACATGAACTCATCATTTTTTATGGCTGCATAGTATTCCATGGTGTATATGTGCCACATTTTCTTAATCCAGTCTATCATTGTTGGACATTTGGGTTGGTTCCAAGTCTTTGCTATTGTGAATAATGCCGCAATAAACATACGTGTGCATGTGTCTTTATAGCAGCATGATTTATAGTCCTTTGGATATATACCCAGTAATGGGATGGCTGGGTCAAATGGTATTTCTACTTCTAGATCCCTGAGGAATCGCCACACTGACTTCCACAATGGTTGAACTAGTTTACAGTCCCACCAACAGTGTAAAAGTGTTCCTATTTCTCCACATCCTCTCCAGCACCTGTTGTTTCCTGACTTTTTAATGATTGCCATTCTAACTGGTGTGAGATGGTATCTCATTGTGGTTTTGATTTGCATTTCTCTGATGGCCAGTGATGATGAGCATTTTTTCATGTTTTTTGGCTGCATAAATGTCTTCTTTTGAGAAGTGTCTGTTCATGTCCTTTGCCCACTTTTTGATGGGGTTGTTTGTTTTTTTCTTGTAAATTTGTTTGAGTTCATTGTAGATTCTGGATATTAGCCCTTTGTCAGATGAGTAGGTTGCGAAAATGTTCTCCCATTTTGTAGGTTGCCTGTTCACTCTGATGGTAGTTTCTTTTGCTGTGCAGAAGCTCTTTAGTTTAATTAGATCCCATTTGTCAATTTTGTCTTTTGTTGCCATTGCTTTTCGTGTTTTAGACAGGAAGTCCTTGCCCATGCCTATGTCCTGAATGGTAATGCCTAGGTTTTCTTCTAGGGTTTTTATGGTTTTAGGTCTAACGTTTAAGTCTTTAATCCATCTTGAATTGATTTTTGTATACAAGCATATAAATTGTACAACAACCAAATGAACTTTGTTGATGCCTCTTTCTTTTCAGTTTATTATTCCGGTGGTCTACACTTCTAGCTCTATTTTTTTTACTAAAATTTTCACCCCTACCCTTCACCTCTGGCTTCTCTATCCACCAAATGGATTATTGGCAAGAATGTCGTAAATGTCAACTCTGAAAACCCATAGACATACCCCTTCTTAATCCTATTATAAAGATAATGAGTGCAGGTTAAAGCATGACCCCACTGGAGAACAATTAACATTTTTTATCTCCAAAGCTGGGAAACAAATCACAAAACAAGATATATAGGCTAGGTCTAGCAATAGAAAGAAGTAATGTATTGAGTTTAACCTGCTAGATGCTATTCAAGCGGCCTCCTACTCCATGGGTAATTGAAAGATAGATTCCAAGAAACAAGTGTAAAAAATTAAGATTCAAACTAAAGGGCTGCATTTTCTCTGTATAATACTACTGAATTAATTAAACAAGAGACAAAAGAAAAGTTTAGGGTACAGAAAGTTGCTACACCAAGAAAGAGTAGGATAAAGAAACAAGAGAGTAGATATAGATTTAAAAGGGTATCTTTCAAGCGTAGAATACAGATACAGGAGAGACTTATCCCTGAATTCAGCATGGTAATTTGGGGATAGCTTATACTTAAAAGTGGCAGATAATATTTATCTCATACTAAAAAGTGACAAAGAATATGCCACTGAAAAGTGCCAAAAGAACATGGGAACCTAGGGTAATACTCAGCTTCACATGGTCCTAGAGGCAGAACGGTATCAGCATCTGCTCTCAGAAGTCAATGCACTGGGTTTCGAGAAGAAGAGACACCACCAGGAAGAGGAAGACCGGTGACCATTTCCAGGCAGAATCATAACTTTAAATTGAAACATTAAGATCAGAAAGAAGATGGAGATTGGAGTTTTCTCAGATTTTGTTAATGGAGCCCAAACTAAAGATACTATTTTTATTGTCTCTATTTTTATTTATTTATTTATTTAGAGATGGGAGTCTCACTCTGTCACCAACTGGAGTACAGTGGCGCCATCTCAGCTCACTGCAACCTCTGCCTCTCAGGTTCAAGCAATTCTCCTGTCTCAGCCTCCCAAGTAGCTGGGGTTACAGGTGCCCGCAACCATGCCCAGCTAATTTTTGTATTTTTAGTACAGACAGGATTTCACCATGTTGGTCAGGCTGGTCTTGAACTCCTGATCTCAAGTGATCTGACCGCCTCAGCCTCCCAAAGTGCTGGGATTACAGGTGTGAGCCACTGTTCCCAGCCTGTTTCTATTTCTTTTTCTTTCTGCCTGATAATCATTTCTGAAATTTCTTTGTCTTTTTGTATTCCCTCTATTAGAATGGATAATTTCTCAGGCCCCATTATAATCATTTACTCTTCTTTCTGTAATAAAAATTACTCCTTATGAGAGGCTATTAAACTTACATTTCTGACTTTGATTAATGTACTGATTTCTAATTGCGTTTGGTATATTGTCAAACATGTATTCATTTTACTATATCAAATATGTCTATTTGTTTCTTCTCATAAAGTTATTCTCTATTTTTTCATTTCCGTTAATGAGTATATTATTTTCTCCCAAATCATGATCCATTGACTCAATATTTACCTTCACATTCTTTTTCCTTTGTTGTCAGTCTTATTAAATTGTCTTTTAGGTAACTTTCCAGATTTATCTCTTCCTTTTCATATTTTGTATTTTGTAAGCTGTCTTCAAATTTGAAGTGTCCTTCCTTCTTCAATAACCAATAAGTTCTCAAAATGTTAGTACATGCCCCATCACTGTCAAATGTGCTTCTTCCTCTTTCCGAACTTGATTTCTCTTTCTCTAACTCCTTTAAATTTATTGACTTTACTATTAACTTGTTATCCATGTATATGGTCTTGCTGCTGTCTATACACCATATGCCAAAAAGAATAAAATTTCTTTTTAGGTAGATCCTTAACTTTTATATGAATATTTTTGTTTTGCCCTTCAGGTTGATTAACAGATGTTAAGAAAATTACAGGATTACAATGATTTTAAAGTAAGAAAACAGGTAAAAAAATTATTCGTTGGCAGTAATACCAGTATTAAACAATTTAAATCAATTCATTAAATAAGTCATTACTTAATATAAATTCATCGGTTTAATGATTAACTCATTTAACTTTGAAAACACTTATCTTGGGTACTTATGTGCCATGCACTCATGCGGGCACTGTGCTATTTAAAAATTAAAATGGTCCGGGTGTGGTGGCTTATGCCTGTAATCCCAGCACTTTGGGAGGCTGAGGAGGGTGTATTACCTGAGGTCAGGAGTTCGAGATGAGCGTGGCTAACATGGTGAAACCCCGTCTCTACTAAAAATGCAAAAATTAGCCAAGTGTGGTGGTGTGTGCCTGTAATCCCAGCTACTCAGGAGACTGGGGCAGGAAAATCGCTTGAACCCAGGAGGTGGAGGTTGCAGTGAGCCAAGATAATGCCACTGCACTCCAGCCTGAGCAACAGAGGGAGACTCTGTTTCAAAATAAATAAATTAATTAATTAAAATTAAAATGTATACTGCCTAACCACATGATTTTTAAAATATAATAATAAAAATAGTAACTTTAAAAAAGATGAAACAGTTTACTACTGTTTTCATAATTGACAGGATACAGTGAAACACAGAATGTTTTGTGAGGAACATTTAGGAAGAATGCTGCAACTTCAGATAAATCTATTATTTTATAAATCTTTGATGATTTTAATGAAAATATCCTGAATAAAGAAAGCATCGCCATTTTATCAAAGAAAATATATAGAACAACTGTGGATACAGTATATTTGTACTATCACAGGTAAATGAGGAAAGTAATAAATTACCTAAAATTAAAAGGTAAAGATACTCTCATGTAAACTGTTGATGCTGCTATTTGAAAACTTTAGTTTCTGTTTAGATAACTTACAAATAATTATAGATTAGAGACTTGTAAAATTCACTTTTATCTGCTATTAATATTTAGGAAGACTTTCACTGTTGTTATTTTCATGACTGTATAATATTGTTTTTATTGCTGCTATTACTTTCAAAGTTATATTAAATTACATTTAATAAGCAAATGACCAATTAAATTATTTTTTCAGTAGGTAACCTTACTAATGAAGTCTAAACAGTTATGTGATGCAAAAAAACAAACCTTAGTTCCAAGTTCTCTTCATTTCTTTCTAAAATAAAAATACATTATAATCTTGCTTTACATCTCCAGATCTTTCTAGGTTCTTATATTTATTTGTATGTTCACTTTTACTAAAGAAGCTAAAATAATTGAGGCATGTATGTTTCACTCCAATAAAGATGCACTTCCAAGAGGTTCTAAATCAATGAATTTATATCCATTTTTCACTCTTGATAGAACCAATTTTCAGAACATCTTCTCCACCATTTATCTTTTTAGACTCTTAATCTCTTTTTCAAATGTTTTATCTTATAGTTTCTAGTGCCGCCCTCATGTTCCTTTCTAAAGGTTTATCCTCTTAAAACTATAATTTAAAAAACTGATTTATTCATTTGTATTTATCATATGTGGTTCTAAATCAAAGGAAGACTAATGCTAAGTATAACAATTAGCATCTTTTGTTTTCCATTTTTTATTATATTCTTTTCAAAGCCTATCTTAAAGAAAGTGAAATGTAGCTGATAAAATTGTATGATGTCTCATTAAAGAAGAAAAATGAAAATTTATAAAGAAAATAACTAAACAGAATATTACTTAGAAATATATTCTTAGAATACATAGTAATTTTCTTGACCATCTAAAGTTTTAAATGGAAAAGTGATACAACCTGTTTTTATGAGTAATTTTATATTAAATTTTACTACTGTCATCCCCATCTTCAAAGTTTCTTCTTCAACATATTTGTGAGTGTCGATTAATCAGAACACAAGTTTAGCAACTGTTTCTGCCTCAAGTCCAGGCTTTCTTTATTAAATGAATCCTGAAAATGTTGAGTTCCATTTTATTTGTTGATGGACCTATTATACTCATCATTTTTGGTCCAAGAGAGATCATCAAGCTAGAAATACAGGTATTCTTATATCTAAGAATGGATTGTTTGAAAATGTACCACAAAGACTTTCCTTTGAGCAAAATTTTATAGAAGTTAAATGTGCCACTCTTTGAAACCACTAAGAGGCATGCAGTGTGTTTTCTAAAACACCAGATGAAATTATTATAGGCCATTTTTATTTTTGGCATGGCACAAAGCAAGGGCCTCAGAACAAGAATACAGTAAATTTTTACTTTATTCTTTAAAATGAGAATCCAGCAGAATAAAGGTGTTTGGTTGAAAGTCATTTAATTATATCTTCAAGGAGATGAAGTGCTGTATTAGAAATAAATACCGCTATCTGAAAGACACATTTTCAGACAAGAAACTTGGCTTTTAATAAAAGAGAAATGGAAAGAAAATAATAGTACTATTTTAAAAACTAAAGCAAGATTGTTAAGATTTCACACACAAGGGGATGTATCTTTTTTCTACACGTTATACTTTAATTTGGAGCTGCTGTTTTCTTGAACATCTGCTTGTCAGGCAAGAAAAATGATTTAAATGGGTATTTCACAATTTAAAAGCAAATTTAATTGCATTCTGAGTGCAGTAGTTTTATGAATTCTGTATATATTAACTTAAAAGATAAAATATAATTGAATAGAAAAAATATAGTCTTTATGACTAAATTATAACTAGAAAAATTGGCAGATGATTATGTTAAAATTAAAACACTGAGAACTGGTTTTCACCCTCCACACTGTGAAATTCATATTTTTAGCTAGAAGTACAATGTCCTTTACTTCAGAGAATTTTCTGCCACTTTATTTGCAGACAATCTCACAAGCAAAATTTAAAGAATACATGACTAGAATAAAAAGTTTACAAAAGTATACCTCTATTCACATGATGTGTAAATAGTGCCATTTTTAGCATTACAGAAAATCCTCATTTGGAAGAAGGACATTTAACAATATCTTTAGAAACTAATTCTATTAACTTATCTACTGTAGTTATTATATTAAGTTCCCAGTGTTGTAGCCAATTACCACAAACTTAGTTGCTTAAAAAAACATAAATTTATTATCTTACAGTCCTGGAGGTCAGAAATATGAATAGGGTTTTACCGGACTAATAATGTGTTGGCAAGTTGCATTCCTTCTGAGAATGGGAAAGATAATCTATTCCTTTGCTTTTTTACAACTTCTAGAGGCTGCCCACATTCCTTGGCTCATGGCCTCCTGCTCCATCTTCAAAGCCAGCAATCTCCCTTTGACCCTCTCTCTGTAATCATATCTCTTTCTCTGAGTCTGACTCCCCTGCCTCTCTCTTTCTTTCCCTTATTAGGACCCATATAATAACATTAGACCCACCAGGAAAATCGAGGCCAATATCCTCATCTTAAGATTTTTTAATTAATCACATATGCAGAGTCCCCTTGTCAATGTAAGTTAACATATTCACAGATTCTAGAGATTGGGAAGTGGACATCTTTTGTGTTGGGGGGATGTTATTCTGCTTTTGCAGTTACACATATGGAAAAATTATTAAAGAATCTCAATCCATTTCATGTATTTGATTTTATTTCCTGGTAATGCAACACAGTTACGTTGAAAGGGAATACAGTTGAACCTCCATATCTGTGGGTGCTGCATCCAGAAATTCAACCAACTATGAATCAAAAACGTTTGCAAAAACAATAAAAATAATAATGTAAACATTAAAAATAATATAATACTTACATGATACCAGGTATAAGCAATCTAGAAATGATTTAAAATATACAGGAGGCTGTGCTTGGGTTATAGGCAAATGCCACCCATTTTACAAAAAGTACTTGAGCATCTACAGATTTTGCTAGCCATGGGGTACTGGAATCAATCCCCTGTGGATATGGAGAGATGACTGTATTGTCATTTAGATTGTTGTCCTTGTATTCCTCACCTTGTGACTTAATAGAAGTGTGAGTTTTAGTGACGATTTTAATGTTCTTGTACAATTCAAACAAATTAAGATGAGGGAGACTCTTAGGTAAGGAGACGAAACATTAACAACAAATAATGCTTGGCATTAGAATTGTTTAAAATGTTTTAAAGAATTGGCAAAGATTGTTATAAATATTTCAACCACTTTGCTATTATTCTCTCTGTTTTACAGATGAGATAAATGATGCTTGGAGAAGTTAAGGTACTTACTCAAAAACCATAAGAGTTAGTAAGTGATAGTACTAGAAACTGCGGTGAGGCCTCTGACTCCAGAGTCTGAGCTTTGAATGAGGATAGCATTCTCTCTGTAATCTGCTACGTATCTTCCCTCTGAACTTATTAGATGAGTGAGCAACCTTCATCACCTTTGTAAATTTGCAGCCAATGGTCAATAAATTTCTTTATTTTTCCCATTTTGTAATGGCAAGCAAATGCTGTTCATCCCACTTATATGTGAACATTTACTGTTTTTCTAAAATTAATCTTGCAATAAATGTTGAGGGGTTACTCTTTGAATTTTATGCTTATGATTATTTTCCTAACAAACTTTATACTACCTAATGAGGCAGCAGAGTATAACATGTAGATACTTTAAAGTAGGAGTGCTTTCAAATATTACCATTTCCTGTTATCTGATATAAGGTGCTTTACAGTATTTCTGGGCCTCTGTTTCTTCTTTGAAATATTTGTGATAAATAGTAATTGTTGTAGAAATGTGTTTTTTTTTATAAACTACATAGTAGCAAGCAATTTTGTTTTCAAGATGGTGAGTTGAGCCATTAATTTTATCCATCCTCGATCCCTAAATACCATTGAATTGTAAGGAATAATTAAATAAAATAGAAAAATTACAGTAGCAGTGTTGGGAAATAGAAAAGGTAAGGCATATGTAATAAAACCTGCAAATAATTTAAAGATAACATTAAGGAGACTATATGTCTACCAAACACTTAAGAAAATCATGACTTCCACTGATTGAATATTGATGCTGTGTTAAGCACTTACTATGTCTTTTACTCATACTATCTCATTTAATCCTTATAGCACCCCCATGATTTAGATACACAGTTATTACTATTTTATCGATTTAGGAAACTGAGGCAAAATGAATGTAAGTAATGTAGGTAATAACACACTGGTACTAAGTGACAATGTTGAGATTTAAAACCAGGAAGTTTGCCTTCAGAGGCTATGATTTTAACCACTAAACTCTTCCTTCCTCAGACACGTATGAGTGGTCCTCTTGAGTGATAAATAAACACCTTTATTCATCCAGGTCTGAGAAAACTTTCATACTTAAGATGGAGAAAAGCAGTGTGTCTTGGAGAAATTGTAGCAACTGAGGCCATATCAAGTGAAACACATGTCGGATATCTCTAAGGTAGTTGTTCAACTTTAAGATTCATTGAGCTCAGACTTTTGCTAAGTCGGGAATTACATGAGAAGAAAAGCCTCATATAGAGTGTATAGAAAGACAAGCAGAACGAGAACAGAAAAAAAAAAAAAGAAATGTCATGAAGTGGGTGTTTCTTTTCCTTTACTCAAACACACCTCTCACTTACTTATTATATACACTAGTATCATTTTCTAAGTGTATGACATGAATTCAGCAAATGAAGCATTCATGCAGAGCCAGCTTCATGGACATGTATCCTGTGCAGTTCCATATGGCCTTGCCTTCCAAAGAGCCCCCACTCGGTTTAAGGCTCTGCCTCTCTATTGTGTACACCTTAATAATTTTATCATTCAGTTTGTGTTTTGTAAGTGAAGTCAGATGGAGCAATCGAGTATGCCCATGCACAGAAGAGATCTGCATAATGTATGTCTGCTCTTATTCCTCACCACCCTGTTCTCACATGGCATTCACAGTGGCCCATATGCACAGAATTCTGATGGACTCACAATGTGTAGGAGTTCACTGAGACTCAAAAGGAACACAAGGTGTGTTGCATCTATCACTAAGTAAACTAATAGTCCCAAGAGGCCATGTGTTCTGCTATCAAAAGAACTTGTTTTAAATGCAGTAAGAAGGCAATGACACTCTGAGAAACAGAAACAACAAACGAACTCTGTCATACTCTTTCTTACCTTGAAAATGACGATGTAGAAGAAAAGGAAATAACAGGGCAACACAAAGTTACTTCTGTGTTCAGTTCTTACTTTCTCATCAATAGGGCAAATATAGAGTGTATTGGTGGAATATGCGTGAATCAAGAAGTGAAATAACACGTGAGTTACTTTTGTGCATTTCCATGATTCTGGTATTAGTGCAATACATATTTGAAAGAAGCTACTTTGTATAAGTTGCACAATATCAGTAATTCACCATGAGTTGAAATCTCTTATATTTGCATTTAAAATTGGCATTGCACAATGTAAACAGTAAAATTAATGCTAAAATGTAAAAGTTTATTTTTTTCCTTACAATGATGTTATATAACAAATAGGACATACCATGGCAATTAAAGACATTTCACAAAGAAAGGAAAAAAGCTTTATATTTTGTATCTTTAATAGGAGTATATTTCTGTATTTCGAACATTTTTATTTTGCTCTAGATTCCACAAATTATACAGGTGGCTTTGCAATCCAGGGAATATGAAATGATTCAATAATGCCAGGAGACTACAAACTGGGGTAGATCATTCTGTAGGCAGGAGGATGCTCTAATACTTAACACAAATAAGTCTGAATAAAATAAAGCTCTGCATTTTTAGCCATTGTCACAGAGGCAACAAACTAGAAATGTATAGGCATGGGAATTCTATCAGGAGCAAGACTGGGAGAGGACTGAGAGCAATAGGGAGGAAGGGGCTTCCTAGTCACCTAAAGTTTAACAAGTTTTGTTGTTGTTTAGTTAAGACTGTAAATATGATTATATTTTGCAAGTAGTAATTGTAACATATATATGGTGAGAGAACACTCTGTGTTAGTGATATGGAGTTTTATAAAATTAATTTATGACACATACATTGCTTACAACAAAGTTAATGTCTAATAAATAAATTTCAGTTATAATTATCATAATTATTATGATTATTATTATTTAACTCTCAAAATATCTCTGAGATGAGTGTTATTATTATCCTCATTTTATACCTGATAGGATTAGAGAGATTAAGGCCTTTAAGATGACACAGAAAGAACCGACCACCAAACTCATATCCAGGAAGAAGATTCCTTTGTAGTCCTAAGTTCCTCATTTCTAATCATCTGGTCCTTCATGTTATCTTAACTAATGGTACCTATGATCATATATCTTTAATAACCGCAACTTAATAATTACTAATTGTGCCCTCTGCATGGCAAAATTTCAAGCATCTCACTTTCTGATTACTACCTGTTAGTATTTCACATGCCTTCTCATTTCCTGCTTTTTCACTCTATTACTATAAATTCTTTGAAATCACCATACTTAAACTTTACACTTTTAAACAAACTCTACAATCATTTTCTGTCCATTAACTGCTTCACGGTCTTGCCCCTCTTCTACCTGCACATAAAGTCCACTTAGAACTTTCTTCCTCAACCATACTCAACCTGACAAAATTTTAATTGTCTTTCAAACCTGAGTCATTGCTACTGCACACGTGCAAAACCACTATGTTTACCCATCTCCATTCAAATGTATTACCTTAAATTTTAAATTTCCCCGTAGTGATTCCTGACAATCTTGCTTTGTTTCTTTAATTAATTCATTCTCTTACACCGCAAATATAATTAGTTAAAACGTTCTATGTACTTCTCAAACTTCCAAAGCCACCTCCAAACCCCACATTCCCTGTTCTTTGTTGTTCGCCTTGGTTCTTATTTTTTAGAGAAAATGTGGGCAATGAGAAGAGATGTTCCATATGCTGCCATGACTCTTTATTTTTTGAGACAGAGTATCACTGTGTCGCCCAGGCTGGAATGCAGTGGCCCGATCAAGGATCACTGCAACCTCCATCTCCTGGGTTCAAGTGTTTCTTCTCCCTCAGCCTCCCAAGTAGCTGGGATTACAGGCGCCTGCCACCATCCCCGCTATTTTTTTTTATTTTTATTTTTAGTAGAGATGGGGTTTCACCATGTTGGCCAGGCTGGTCCTGAACTCCCGACCTCAGGTGACCTGCCTGCCTCAGCCTCCCATAGTGCTGGGAGTACAGGCATGAGTCACTGCACCCAGCCTGCCATGACTGTTTAACTCACCTCCCTCCATCTGAATCTGCACTCTCTGCGCTGCCTCCTGTTTCTGTGGATGCTGCTGCTCCTCTTCTATTCCTTTATGAAAATAATTTGTTTCTGAAATATTTTATTCTTCTCTTTCTCCTATATTAACTTATATCTTCCCTTCATACTGGAACACCTCTATCATCAAATCATTATCCACAATAAGATTATCAGTCTTATCAAAACCAAAACAAAGGACAAAAAACAACAACAAACTTCATTTCACTACACATCACCCTCCAGTTACTAGCCCATAAGCTTGTTCCTGTCTATGGTACAAAATTTTAGAGTTGTCTACAAATGCTTTATCTACTTTTCTGCTTCTGGCCTACCTTAAGTAAACTGTAATCAGATTTTTATCTCTTCCTCTCTACTAAAGAGTTCTAAGAAGGTTATAAACTATCTCTATGTTACTATATCCAAGGTAAGTTTCTAATTCTTACCTCAATACATTTATTCTTATTGCTCTCTCCAAATGGATTGCTTTTCCTAATATATCTACATAGAGCACATCCTTACTTTACATAATTCTTTTCCCAAAAGTCACCATGTCAGGGAAGCTACACCATGACTTCTAGCTCTCCCAGGCTCTCTGATCACTGATCCTGATTTACTCATTTATGCTTTCATGTGTTTGTTTGTTTTTAACAAACTTTATTCTTGAGAATAGTTTTATAATTACAGAAAAAATGTGAAGATAGCACAGAAAATTCCCATATATACTGAACCCAATTACTCCTATTATTGACAACTTACATTAGTATGATATATTTCTTATAATTAATGAATGAATATTAACTAGGTTGACTATCATCAGAGTGAACAGACAACCTACAGAACGGGAGAAAAGTTTTGCAATCTATCCATCTGACAAAGGTCTAATACCCAGAATCTACAAGGAACTTAAACAAATTTACAAGAAAAAAACAAACAGCTCCATTAAAAAGTGGGCAAAGGACATGAACAGACAATTCTCAAAAGAAGACATTTATGCGGCCAATTAATATATTAAAAAAGGCTCAACATTACTGATCATTACAGAAATGCAAATCAAAAGCATAATGAGATACCATCTCCCACCAGTCAGAGTGGCGATTATTAAAAAGTCAAGACACAACAAATGATGGCAAGGCTGTGGAGAAATAGGAATGCCTTTACACTTGGTGGAAATGTAAATTAGTTCAACCATTGTTGAAGACAGTGTGGTGATTCCTCAAAGACCTAGAACCAGAATTACCATTTGACCCAGCAATCAATTACTGGGTATACACCCAAAGGAATATAAATCATTCTATTATAAAGGCACATGCACATGTATGTTCACTGCAGCACTATTCACAATAGCAAAGACACAGAATCAACCCAAATATTCATCAATGGTACACTGGATAAAAATGTGGTACATATACACCATGGAATACTATGCAGCCATAAAAAGTAATGAGATCCTATCCTTCGCAGAGACATGGATGGAGCTGGAAGCCATTATCCTCAGCAAACTACCAGAGGAACCAAAAATCAAATACCGCATGTTCTCATTTGTAAGTGGAAGCTGAACAATGAGAATACATGGACACAGGGAGGGGAACAACACACACTGGAGCATGTTGAGGGGTTAGGGGAGGGAGAGCATCAGGATAAATAGCTAATGCATGCTGGGCCTAATACCTAGGTGATAGGTTGATAGGTGCAGCAAACCACCATGGCACACATTTACCTAAGTAACAAGCCTGCATGCCCTGATCATGTATCCCAGAAAAAAATAAAATGAAATAAAATTGTTAAAAATGTATACAATAAGTTTCATTCTTTGTGCTGAAAATTTCAATGAATTTTGACAAATGCATAGTTTCATGTACCCACAATTAAGGTGTCATACAAAACAGTTTCAGAACCCTAAAAATCATGTGTTTCATCTATTCAAAGCCCTGCACTCCTGTTCTAAAAGTCTGGAAACTACTGATCTTTTTTGCTGCCTCTACAGGTTTAATTTTTTCAAAATGTCACACAAATGGAATCATATAGTATAAAGCTTGTCAGACCATCTCCTTTTACTCAATAATGTGTAATACACATTAAAATACATATAAAATTCATTTGACTTTTCTGAATTAGTGGATTATTTTTATTGATATATAATAGTTGTACATATTTTGGGGGTATATGTAATATTTTGATGCATGTATACAATCTGCAATTATCAAATCAGGGTGATTGCAATATCTGTAAATTCAAACATTTATCTTTTCTTTGTGTTGGAAACATTCTAATTCTTCTCTTTCACCTGTTATTTAAACTTATTTCTTCTATTTAACTGTATTTTTGTACCCATTAACCAACTGCTCTTCATCACTCATCCCCACTACCCTTCTCACCCTCTGATAATCACCATCCTACTCTCTACTCTGTGAGATTCACTGTTTGTGATTCCAACATGAATAAATATATGTGATATTTGTCTTTCTGTGCCTGGCTTATTTCATCTAACAAAATGAACTCTAATCCCACCCATGTTGCTGCAAATGACAGAATGTCATCATTTTTATGGCTGAATAATATTTATTTTGGACCGAATAAGATTTCATTGCATAGATACTCCACAGGTTGTTTATCTATTAATATTTTAAAGGGAATATTGGTTGCTTCCAGTTTTTGACAATTATAAATAAAGCTGATATACATATTTATATACAAGTATTTATGTGAACAAGTTTTCAAATCAGGTGGATGAGTACCTAGGAGCATAATTGCTGGATTCTATGGTAATACTATGTTTAGCTTTGTAAGAAACTACCAAACTGTCCTCCAAAGTGGCTATACCATGTATCATCCCTAACAGAAATGAATCAGAGTTCTTGTTCTCCACATCTTCAACACCAATTAGTATTCTCAGGGCTTTTTTAAATCTATTTGGCAACAAAATTAAATTAAACAAATCTATTGAGGCAATAAAAATCTATAACAAAATTTACCATCTTAATCATTTTTAAGTGTACAGATTACTAGTATTATGTATAACCACAGTATGCAACCAATCTCCAGAACTTTTTTAATCTTGCAAAAATGAAACATTGCGCCAGACGCAGTGGCTCACACCTGTAATCCCAGCACATTGGGAGGCCGAGGCAGGTGAATCATTTGAGGTCAGGAGTTTGAGGCAAGCCTGGGCCACATGGCAAAACCCTGTCTCTACTAAAATTACAAAAATTAGCCAGGCATGGTGGCATGTGTCCATAGTCCCAGCTACTTGGGAGGCTGAGGCAGGAACATTGCTTGAACCTGGGAGGCGGAGGTTGCAGTGAGTTTTGCAAGTGCAGGTCTTGCCACTGCACTCCAGCCTGGGTGATACAGCAAGACTCACAAAACAAACAAACAAACAAAACAACAAGTTTCTCACACACACACAAACACTGAAACTTTGTACTCATTAAACAACAACTCCTCATATCCTCCTCCTCTCAGTCACTGGCAACCAGCATTCAACTTTCCATTTCTATTATTTTGACTACTCTGAATATAAATTTATGACTGGCTTATTTGACTTAGTATAATGCCCTTAAAGTCCATCCATATTGTACCATTTGTCATAATTTCCTTCCTTCTTAGGGCTGAGTAACATTTCATATTCATAGAATTATGAATCCACATTTTGTTAATCCATTCTTCTATTGACAGACACTTGGGTTGCTGTCATCTTTTGGCTATGGAGAATTGTGCTGTGATGAACATGGTTGTCTAAAGATCTCTTCAAAATCCTGCTTTCAGTTCTTTTGTATGTAAACTCAAGAGTGAAATTTCTGAATCTTATGTTATATTTTTAATTTTTTGAGAAACTACCATACATTTTTTGTAACAGCTACAACATTCTAAATTCCCATCAAGAGTAGATAGGATTCCAACTTCTCCACATGCTAGCCAACACTTGGTATTTTTTCCAAAAAACAGTAGCCATTCTAATGGGTATGAGATAGTACCTCAGTGTGGTTTTGATTTTCATTTTCCTAATGATTAACTATATTTAGTATATTTTCATATCCTTGTTGGTCATTTGTATATTATCTTTAAATAAATGTCCATTCAAATTATTTGCCAACTTTTTCATCAGGCTATGTGCTTTTTTGTTGTTAAGTTGTAATAGTTCTTTCTATGTTAACCCTTTATTAGATATAATTTGCAAGTGTTTTCTTATATATGTTTTGCAAATATTTTCTTCCAGTCTTTTTCTTGTCTTTTAACCATTTTAACGGTGTCTTTAATAGACCAGAACTTTTTAATTTTAATAAAGTGCAAATTATAAATTTTTATCATTTAATAAATCATTTCTTATATTCTTTTATTTATTTTTATTCTCATGATGTATTATACCTTGTTATGCCAGACAGAAATTTGTCTCTTGGCTTTCTCCCTTATTAGCATGTAAACTCCACGAAAGCAGTTACATTGTTCTGTTTATATTATATTTCTTTTTTTTTTTTTTTGGTGCTTCTATTGACATTTTCATTTCTGGGTTATTGGTTTATTATTTTGACTGACGGTTGCTTGTCTCATAAGCAGTTGTCAATATCCATATCAGCATTAAACACACATCAATTAGCTTTTAGGAAAAACAAAATAAAAATCACATATTAATTTTTCAGAATTAGAAAAGCAATCAAAAATGACACAAGCTGATGTACTTAAAGCCTCTAATAAGGAAAAAGTTCATACTATATTTCGACACCTAAAAAAGTTCTACTATATTTTGATACTATCTGTCAAATAGATCCATTCAGTAAATAGTTGATAAATGCATATATAATTATATAAGCATATAAAAATAGAACTGTAAAGCTATGTTCTAAGCCAGTATTTTCCACATATTTAACACACTACATACTTCTATCAATAAAATTTTAGATCTAAGTATTTATATTTCAAAACCACCTGTTGTATATAACATATTTACACAATTTTGTCAAAAAATTAGCTCCTATACCATATGTGTATCTATTACATATAACTTATATATATATATGTCCTACTGTACTAATAGAAACCATGAAATCACAAATCAATAATTAAATGAGTATAAATTTCCTGTAAGCTTTAAAATATTTTCCTCTCAAATACAGACATTGGAAACCACTACTCAAAATCATTATATTCTACTTTTTTCCATTTTAAATTAAACAGAATACTATCACAGTCTTAATCTACATCTTTTAATATTGTAATTACAGATATAATAAGCTGAGTTTTGCCAAGTGAAAGAAAGATTTGATCTGTCTTTAATTCCACACCTTTTATTGACTCTTTTATTTTCTTTTCAGTGTACCAGGTCAGATGTTTGCTGAGCCTGAGAATTATTTGGTATTCTGCCTATTCAAGAACTCTGCACACCTTAGAAATGGCAGAAACTTCTATTCCTTGGAATTGTGAGAATATATTTTCTGTTATTTTAAGTCTTTCGAGTTTGTCATTTCTCATCATTATTAGGTATTCCTAGGAAATTATACATACATATATACATACGTACACACATATGTATATATTAGGCTTAACCATCTGTATGTTCTTTGAACATTAATTTTGATAATTATTAAGATAATAAAAGTAAACAGGAATAACAGTAGTTAACAAATATGGAATGCACCTGGTTATTTTGCAAAATGCTTTTACATGTGAATGTTATTTAAAGACAATTCTATTAAATAAGGATGAGGCTGTTATTTTCACTTTTCAATTGATCAAACCGAAATTTACAGAAGTTACATAATTTCAGATAACCAGCAAATTGTAGAGCAAGAACTCATATCTAGGTCCCTGTTCCTCCAAATCTCAAGTTCCCAAGCGTAACACTATGTTTGAAGCAAGGTTTTTAAGACACAGTTAAATATTCATTTTACTGCAGCACTTTAAAATATATTACCACACTTAATTGTTAGCAAAAGTTTTGGCACATTTAGGGAGTCTATAAATACTTATTGAATGAATAAACACATGTAGCAATGCAGTGTTTTTATATGGTAATATTTCTTTTAAAAGTATGGCTGCAATATGAAGTACATTTTTAAACGGGAAGAAAAACTGATTTTATGTCACAGTATCTGTCACCCAAAAACCAAGCTCCTTTTCTAATGAAAGTAGCTACCTCCAAAAGTACAGAAATCAACACAAACATTTACAGGGGCCTCTAAGACCCATAAACTACTCACCAAGCATGAAGAGCTTTTCTTCTAAGAATGCTCAAATGGAGTATAAAAAAATACATTACTTTTATGTTCTCATGGCCCATTAAATCTTTCTTAATGCAGTATTTTTTTGACTCAGTATGTTTTGAGTATACCAAAATAGTGGTACTTGCTCTGGCTTTCATTATAGTGAGGGGCTATTATTCAACTGCTTTTATCTTTTATAGTTACCTATATAAATAGTGTTAATTCTTGGATTTAAAAACATTAAATTATCTATTTTTCACTAAAGCGAAAAGGACTTTTAGTCTAGTTCCTTTGAAAAGAACGTGAAATCTGTGTACATACCTGATCCCCTGTTCAAAAGCAGCAAGCAAGATCAAATGCTGGATTTCTTGAAAATTATCAATTTAAGAATTTAGCAGTGTATCAGTTGGCAATTTAACATATAACGGAAACATCTATTGTGCATTGAATTGTGTCCCCTTTTTAGATATATGGAGGTGTAATAGCCATTATCTATGAGTGTGACCTTATTTGAAAATATGTACTTTGTAGATGTAATCAAATTAAGATGAGTTCATGTTAGACTAGATTGGGCTCTAATCCAGTATAAGAACTGCTGTTTTTATAAGAAGAGAAAACAGAGACACAGTGAGGTAAGTGTCATATGAAGATGAGACATGGGGACACAGAGACATAGAGGAAAGATGGATGTGTGAAAATGGAAGCAGAGATTAAACTTATACTGCCACATGCCAAAAAATATTTGGAGGTAGAAGAAACAAGGAAAGATTCTCCCCTAGAGACTTCAAAGGGAGCAAGGCCCTGCCAACATCTTGATATTGAGCTTCTATCGTCTACAACTGTGAGAGAATGAACCTCTATTGTTTTAGCCACTCAGTTTATGATACTTTCTTATGGCAACCCTAAGAAATTAAAATGACATCTAATACTGTGCTAATATTTCCAGATTCTGTTGATTCTATGTGTTAAGTATCTTAACAATGCATATGTTTCCTATCATTCTAAGGAATGTACGGCGTTAAATCCTGCCAAGAGTATTTATAGCTGTTGAACATTTCTTAGGTTTCAATCAATGAGAGTATTTATTACACCCATATTAAGGACTCCGACTTACTTTATCTACTATGAAGAAGTACATATATGCCATGGGACATTTTCTTCAGAGATATCATTAGAGTCATACATGAAACATTTGAAACATACTAAGTAATTATTTTTTGGTCAATTTTCCTAGTTAGTTGGTTTCCTGACATATTTCATGAGGCATACTGCAAGCTGAGCACTATCTGATATATTGAACAGGCTGTATGACTTCCAATTCAGTTAGCAGAAGACACCTATTGCAGTTATATCAATCATATTGTTTGAATGTTTCCATAGACACCTAATCAAGATTTCAAGGTGATTTGGCTTGGTAATTCAAACTACTTCCCTGCTGCCCAAGGAAGATAGACTATACAAATTGCATACACATTTTAGCTTCTGGCAGGTTATGCGGGCCACATCTTCCAGAAAATGTGTTCCCTATTTCTTGTCCTCAGATAGCATCTTGGAAGTAGGCAAAATACTCTTGTAAATCCATATTTTTCTCCAAATGCCTCTACTAATTTTCTACAATTTTCACTGTGGTCTCTTCTACTTGACACATGAGTGTCGTCCTGGATTCCTAAGTGAGCTTTCAATACAGAGCATCCTATCACAAAACCTTTGATGATTGTAATACATGCATGCTTGATTACTTATTAATATTTCTAAGGTACTATCTTGGAAATGTTGCTTGATTTTAAGGTAGTCATTTCCTAGCACTCGTGTAATATGGCCATATTCCCACACCATACTCCAGTCCAGAAAGAAGCACTGGGCTCTGTGTTCCCACAGCTGCCTCAATCACCAGGAATTTGGAACTGGAAAAAAAAAAAGGAATTTTTTTCTCTGCCATATAGTTTGTGAAAGAGAAAAAGCAGATCTGCTTGAAAAATGAGAAAGAAGATAACATACATGGAGGGGCAGAGATAAGAGCATAAGCTATGTCCTGAGGCCCAGCTATATTCCTGCTTTGATCCTCATAACCAATTCTTGAGCTAGCTTAAGTGGCTATCACTAAATTGCAGCCAAATTAGTGTTAATTAACATACTGATTGTAATGGAATGAAGACGGAACTTTATGTTATTTAGGTGTCATTATCTTTTCCTTTCTCAGACTGCATTGTCCAGAAAGTTATTTGACTTATTCATTCTGATTGTTGGCGAGAGGTGGAGGTGGATAAATGACTGCATCCCTTTCTTATTTTTTGTGGACCATCTATTTTTGTAGTATTTAACGCTCTTGATCTCTCCTGTCTATATTTTTATTCATTGGTAGGCTTTTAAAAAAAAACACAGACTTTATTTTTTAGAGCAGTTTTAGACTCACAGCAAAATTGAGCTGAAGGTTCAGAAATTTTTCATATACCTCCTTCCTCCACCTTCACTCATTTTTGTCCATGATAAAGAGTGACTTGTCTAGATGGTACACCATGACTCATGCCCGTTATCCTAACTACTTGGGAGGCTGAAGCAGGAGGATCGCTTGAGCCCAGGAGTTCAAGGACTCAGTGAGCTAGGATCATGTCACGGCACTCCAGGCTGGGGGACAGAGAAAGATCCTGTCTCTAAGTAAATAAAATAAGAAGAGTAACTTGTCTGAATGGTAAATCTGGAACAAGAAAGTAACATTTATTTGTAATCAATGCCTATACTTCTTTTGATGAAATACTGTATGGCAGAGAATGTGTACCCTCCACCATGCTGTAAGTTTCAGCGTACCAGGCATTTTCCTTGGGGGAGGAAGCCTAGTATAGCAGGAGGGGCAAAAGTTGAACTCAAAACAACATCTGGTGTATTGAGCAACGTATTTAGAAACCTCAACAGGTAACCTCCAGTTGGAGAGATAAATAATACTTTAAGATTGACGGCAGTTTTTATATCTGTACACCCATGCTCTGGTTATCTATTACTACAAACAGAAACTATCCAAAAATTTTAGACAGTGTGTCTTTGTGGCATCACCTGGGGCAGTGGGGTCTGGAATTTTCACTTCCAAGGTGGTATCCTCACACACATTCCTGGTACCTCCATGCTTCTTTGCCTTTCTCTCTCAGACATAGTGTCTGATATTCCATGTCTTCTCCATGTGGCTTGAACATAACACAATATGATGGTCTCAAATTAGCTATACTTTTTAGTTGATGGCTGGCTTCCAAAAAGATTATTTTAAGAGATCCAGGTGGATGCTGCAAGACTTCTCACAATACAGCTTCAGAAATCCAAGATCCTACCACTGCCATATTTTATGTGTTAAGCAAGTCACTGGGACTGCCCAGATTCAAAGGGGAGGGAATTAGTCTCTACTTCTACATGAAAAAAAAAATGGCAAAATCAGAATGTAGAAGAGTATGTGAGGTGAAAGATATTCTTAAAACTATGTTCAGAAAATATAATTAGCCACATCTGGCTTGTAACTGTTGAAACCTGGGTAGACAGCTTCAGGATTTAGGTGTAAGCCAGAAGGATTTTTATCTTTGTCAGTCATTATAGCATGTAACAGCTTTGTCAAATGTCAAGTGACGATTTCTATAAAGCGCAGTTGTAACAGCACTAAGCCTTACACAAGTGGTATACAGTTCTCAGCAAAACTGCAGAACTTTAACAAAGGCACGTGGATGTCAGCAAATTCAGAGGCTGAGGCCTTCATCAAAAGTGAGGGCCAGAAAAGGTACAGACTGCAGGGTTCAGTAAATTCAGCTATGATGTGAGGCCTCAAAATAGGCTAGCTGCAAGGGATCTACCAGGCTTAACCATATACTGCAGGTTAGAACAAAGGTATACTTTGTTTTTGTTTTTAATACAATTCCAAGTTGAATCTGCTAGGCTTTGAACTGTAGATGTTAAGGTTTTTGTAAGCAGATATGACTGAAAGAAAATAATTTTGAGCATCATGGAAATTATCTTTATGGAAAGAGGACTTTAACACATAAATACTAAAGTAGGTCTTCCCACTGTTAACAAGCAAGGCAGCTGAGTACAGAGTGCTCTACAAAAGATACAGAGTTTTTGCAAAACTACAGGTTTAAACTTTAACGGTTGTCCAAGAGAGGTAGAACCAGCTCAGATAACACAAATTTAATTCCACATTCAGGGTTATACATGGAGTTTTCTATAGTTTAATTTTGTTTTGGGGTTATTTTAAGACAGCTCTACATTTTTTTACTGATATGAGGAAAAAAATCATCTTTATCATGCAAGTTTCTTAGGCCTAAAGAATTTCATAGCAGGAAGCAATAGAAACACTCCCAGGGGCATAAGGATGGAACACACCTTCTCACCTCTCTTCTCTTGAAAATATGGATACACAGATTTAGTAAAGCCCCCACACAACTCAATAATGGTGCAAGAACAGTGGAACTAAAGAGATTTACAAGCTGAAAGGAGGAAAAAGCATTTAGTCTTTGACCATGAAATACGATATTAGATGTGGACTTATCACAGCCGGTTGAGTTTTTGTTTTTAATTATGAAACGGTGTTTGATTTTGTCAAATGCTTTTTCTGCAACTATTGAGATGACCGTCTAGTTTTCGTCCTTTTTCTATGAATATGATGATTTCTTACATTGATTGGCTTTTATAATTTAAATTAATTTTGGATTTCAGGGATAAATCATGTTATACTGTCAGGAACAAAGGATAACTTTCCTGGTTGACATATAATCATTTTTACATATTGTGAATTTGATTAGTTAGGATTGAGGAAATTTTTGTCCATGTTCATAAGAGATTTTAGTCTAAAGTTTATTTTTCTTGTGATGTCTTTGTCTGGTTTTAATATCAAGTTAATACTGGCCCTACAATGAATTTGAAAATGTTCTAGTATTTGTAAGAGTTTTTGAGAGACTGTTACAGTTCTTTTTTAAATATTTGGTAAAATTAAAAAGTAAAGCCACAGAATTTGATTTGTGGGAAGTATTTAGCTTACTAATTTAACTTTTATACTTTCATAAGTTTATTTAGATTTATATTTCTCGTTCAGTCAGTTTATGGTGCTTGTTTCTTTCTAAGAACTTTTGTTTCATCTACATTATCTAATTTTTTGGCATAAAAGTCTTTTTAAATAATTTTTTCTTCTCTATGTCCTATACTGATATGCCCCTTTCCATTCTCGGTTTTAGTAATTTTAGTTCTCTCTCTTTTCTTGGTACATGTAGCATAAGGTTTGCTGATTTTGTTAATATTTTTGAATAACAAATATTTGGCTTCATTGATTATTTTATTTTTTTTCTCTTATCCTTGTTATTTAGTTTTGCTCGTTTTTATTTTTTTCTTAGTTTTGCTTGTTCTATGGTTAGTATTCTCTTATATCTTCAGTTTATTAATACAGAAGTTTAGGTTATTGATTTGAAATCTTCCTACTCTTCTAATATAGATATTTATAGCAATATATTTATTTTTTGACACAATTTTAGCTACATAAGTTTTGTATATTATATTATAATTTGGATTCATCTCAAAGTAACTTTTAATTTTCTTTGTGATTTTCTTCTTGATGAATTAGTTGTTAAAAAGTTGCAACAACTAAAGCATTATTAAATACTAAGTGTTGTTTATTTTTACATACTTGTGAATTTCCTAGATTTCATTCTCTTATTTCTATAAATTTCTAAATTTAATTCCACTATGGTCACAGAACACATTATTAAAATCGTTAAATATTGTATTAGGGTTCTCTAGAGGGACAGAATTTATAGGATAGATGTATATATAAAAGGGAGTTTATTAAGGAGCATTAACTCACATGATCACAAGGTCCCACAGTAGGTCATGTGCAAGCTGAGGAGCAAGGAAGCCAGTTTGAGTTCCAAAGCTGAAGTACTTGGAGTCCGATGTTCAGGGGTAGGAAACATCCAGCACAGGAGAAAGATGTAGGCTGGCAGGCTAAGCCAGTCTAGTCTCTTCATTTTCTTCTGCCTGCTTTTTATTCTGGCCATGATGGCAGCTGATTAGATTGTGCCCACCCAGATTAAGGATGCCTCTGCCTTTCCCAGTCCACTGACTCAAATGTTAATCTCCTTTGGCAACACCCTCACAGACAAACCCAGAAACAATACCTTGCATCCTTCAATCCAATCAAGTTGACACTCAGTATTAACCATCAGGAGTACTTCAATAGTTATTAAATGTATGGAGGCTTACTTTATGTTCTAACATATAGTCCGTCTTGAAAATGTCCATGACAAAACCACGGCCAACATAATACTGAATGGGAACAGTTGGAAGCATTACCTCTGAGAATTGGAATAAGACATGGATGCATGGATGCCCACTCTCACCACTCCTCTTCAACACAGTACTGGAAGTCCTAGCCAGAGCAATCAGACAAGAGAAAGAAACTAAATCAGTAAAGAGAAATCCAAACTGTCACTGTTTGCTGATGATATGATCATTTAACTTGAAAACCCTAAGGACTCCTCCAGAAAGCTTGTAGAACTGATAAAAGAAGTCAGCAAAATTTCCAGATACAATATTAATTACACAAATCAGTAGCTCTTCTATACACCAACAGCGATCAAGCAGAGAATCAAATCAAGAACTCAACCCCTTTTACAATAGCTGCAAAAAAATTAAAATACTTAGGACTATACCTAACCAAGGAGGTGAAAGACCTCTACAAGGAAAACTACAAAACACTGATGAAAGAAATCATAAACAACAAGTACAAATGGAAACACATTTCATGCTCATGGATGCATAGAATCAATATTGTGAAAATGACCATACTGCCAAAATCAATGTACAAATTCAATGCAATCCCCATCAAAATACCACCATCATTCTTCACAGTACTAGAAAAAAAAATTTTAAATTCATATGGAACCAAAAAAAAAATGCCTGCATAGCCGATGCAAGACTAAGCAAAAAGAACAAATCTGGAGGCATCACACTATCTGATTTCAAACTACACTATAAGGCCATAGTCACCAAAACAGTATGGTACTGGTGTAAAAATAGGCACAAAAATCAATGGAACAGAATAGAGAACCCAGAAATAAACCCAAATACTTACAGCCCACTGATCCTCGACAAAGCAAACAAAAACATAAAGTGGAGAAAGGACACCCTTTTCAACAAATGGTGCTGGGACAATTGGCTAGCCACATGTAGGAGAATGAAACTGGATCCTTATCTTTCACTTTATATAAAAATCAACTCAAGATGGATTAAGAACTTAAATCTAAAACCTGAAACTATGAAAATTCTAGAAGATAACATTGGAAAAACCCTTCTAGACACTAGCTTATGCAAGGATCTCATGACCAAGAACACAAAAGCAAATGCAATAAAAACAAAGATAAGGCCGGGTGCATTGGCTCACGCCTGTAATCCCAGCACTTTGCGAGGCTGAGGCAGGCAGACCACAAGGTCAGGATATCAAGACCATCCTGGCTAACAGGGTGAAACCCCATCTCTACTAAAAATAAAAATAAAAATAAAAAATAGCTGGGCGTGGTGGCGGGCACCTGTAGTCCCAGCTACTCAGGAGACTAAGGCAGGAGAATGGCATTAACCAGGAGGTGGAGCTTGCAGTGAGCCGAGATTGCGCCACTGCACTCCAGCCTGGGTGACAGAGCAAGACTCCATCTAAAAAAATAAATAAATAAAATAAAAATAAAAATAAATAAATAGCTGGGATCTAATTAAACTAAAGAGTTCTTGTACGGCAAAAGGAAAAGTTGGCAAAGTAAACAGACAACCCACAGAGTGGGAGAAAATGTTCAAAATCTGTACATCTGACAAAGGACTAATATCCAGAATCTACAATGAACTCAAACAAATCAGTAAGAAAAAAAAAAAACAATCCCATCAAAAAGTGGGCTAAGGACATGAATAGACAATTCTCTAAAGAAGATAAACAAATGGCCAACAAACGTGAAAAAAATGTTCAACATCACTAATAATCAGGGAAATGCAAATCAAAACCACAATATGATACTACCTTATGCCTGCAAGATTGGCCATAATCAAAAAATCAAAAAACAGTAGATGTTGGCATGGATGTGGTGAACAGGGAACACTTCTACATTGCTGGTGGAAATGCAAACTAGTACAGCCACTATGGAAAACAGTGTAGAGATTCCTTAAAGAACTAAAAGTAAAAACTACCATTTGATCCAGCAATCCCACTACTGGGCATCTACCCAGAGGAAAAGAAGTCATTATTCAAAAAAGTCACTTGCAAATGCATGTTTATAGCAGCACCATTCACAATTGCAAAATTGTGTAACCAACCCAAATCCCCATCAATCAACAAGTGGATAAAGAAACCGTGGTATATATATACAATGGAATAGTATGCAGCCATAAAAAGGAATGAGTGGCCAGGAGCAGTGGCTCATGCCTGTAATTCCAGCACTTTGGGAGGCCGAGGCAGGTGGATCACGAGGTCAGGAGATCGAGACCATCCTGGCTAACACGGTGAAACCCCGTCTCTATTAAAAATACAAAAAATAAGCCGGGCACGGCAGCGGGTGCCTGTAGTCTCAGCTACTTGAGAGGCTGAGGCAGGAGAATGGCGTGAACCCGGGAGGCGGAGCTTGCAGTGAGCCAAGTTAGCACCACTGCACTCCAGCCTGGGCGACAGAGTGAGACTCTGTCTCAAAAAAAAAAAAAAAAAAAAAAAAAAAAAAGGAATGAGTTAACAGCATTTGAAGTGACCTGTATGAGATTGGAGACTATTACTCTAAGTGAAGTAACTCAGGAATGGAAAACCAAACATCGTATGCCCTCACTGATATGTGGGAGCTAAGCTATGAGGACACAAAGGCATAAGAATGATACAATGGACTTTGGGGACTTGCGGGGAAGAGTGGAAAGGGAGACAAGGGATAAAATACTATAAATATGGTGCAGTGTATACTGCTCGTGTGATGGGTGCACCAAAATCTCACAAATCACTGCTAAAGAACTTACTCATGTAAACAAAGACCATCTGTACTCCAATAACTTATGGAAAATAAAAACTAAAAAAAAGAAAATGTCCATGAACACTTGAGAAGGAAGTACATTTTGCTTTCATTGAGTGGTACCTTCTATAGAAGTTTGTTGGGTCTAGGTGGTTTATACTGTCATCTTTTATTTTCTTGTTGATCTTCTTAGTTGTTTTATTTATTAAACGTAGGGTAATGATGTCTCCAACTATATTTTTAAATTGCTTATTTCTCTTTTCAGTTCTGTTCACTTATGCTATATATTTTGGAGCTCTCTTGTTATAAACATAAATGATTATAATTGCTGTCTCTGTGCTGGATCAATTATTTATTATTGTAAAAGTTCCTTCTTTGTTTCTAATAACACTTTTTGCCTTAAATTCTATTTTGGCTTTTGTCAATGTAGTGACTGTCTTTGGCTTACTGTCTGCGCTGTAAATCTTTTGTTTACTTTCAACCTATCTATGTCTTTTAATATAAAATGTGTCACTTGTAGACAGCATATATTTGAGTCATTTTATATCTATTCTGTCAGTCTCTGTCTTTCCATTAGAATGTGTTTAAACTATTTTCATGTCATATAACTAATAAGCTATAATTTACACCTGCCATTTTTTATATTCGTTTCCTATATGTCTTATGTCCTTTTGGTTTCTCTGTTTCAGAGTTCTTGATTACTTTCCTATTAAACATATACTTTTTGGGGATATATCATTTTGATTACCTTCTTGTTTATTTCACTATATTTTAAAAAATATTTTCGTTTTGGCTTCCCTGAAGTCTCAGTTAGCTTTTAAACAATTCAATTTAGTTCAGTTTAACACAAATTTAATTTCAATAGTATACATAATTTTCTTGCATTGTAGCTTTGCCCCTCATTTTTGTGCTATTATTGTCAAACAAATTGCATCTTTTGATTAACACATTTTTATATTTGTTGCTGCATGTAGCTGTGTTTTAAATTACGTAGTAAAAGAAAAGGGCTGTAAGCAAAATACATTTACACCACCCTATCCTTATAATGTTTAATTTTAAATGTCAACTGCACTGGATTAAAGACTACCTAGAGAACAGGCAAATTATTATTTCTGGGTGTGTCTGTGCTGGTGTTTCCAGAGGATATTGTCATGTGAGTCAGTGGACCAAGTGAGGAAGATCCACTCTCAGTGTGGGTGGGCATCATCCAATATGCTGGGTACATAAATTGAAAAAAAAGTAGAGTAATGGAAAATCTCTCTCTCTCTGCCTGTCTTTTTCTTATTCTTTCTCTGCCTCTCTCTCCTTCTCCCCCCTCCCCCTCTCTCTCTCACATTCTCTCCTGGAGCTGGGAAACTTTTTTTTTTCACATTTGGATATCAGAATGACAGGCTTTCTGGCCTCTGGAGTCCAGGAAATACACCAGCAGATCTCTCAATCCTCAAGCTGTTAGCCTTAAACTGAGAGTTCCATCATTAGCTTCCCTGGTTCTTGAGGGTTTAAGACTTGGATGGAGCCATACTACCAGCATCCCAGTGTCTCCAACTTCTAGACAGCTTATCATGAAACTTTTTGGCCCTCATAATGGAGTACATTCTCCAATTGAAATACATAGAACAGCTGAATGGATAAAAATTAAGACCCAACTATATGCTACTCACAAGAGATTTACCTCAGTGTTAAAGACAAGCATACACTGAAAGTAAAAGGATGGGAAAAAATATTTCATGGAAAGAAAATCAAAAGCAGATGTAAACAGCCAACTTACCTCAAATAAAATAGATTTTAAGTCAAAAACTGTAAAAAGAGACTAAGAAGTTCATATAATGATAAAGATAAATTTAAAAAGGGAGTATAAAATTGTTAATTACATCTATAAGCAAATTTAGAGCACTTAGATATATAAAGCAAATATTATTAGACATAATGGGAGATAAACTGGAATACAATAACAGTAGGGAAAATCAGCAGCCCACTTTATTTATTTTTTTAACTTTTTCTTAAATTAAGTTTTTATTTTTATTTTACTTATTTATTTATTTTTATTGAGGCAGGGTTTCACTTTGTCACTCAGGCTGGAGTGCAGTGGTGCAATCTTGGCTCACTGCAGCCTCAACCTCCTGGGTTCAAGCAATCCTCCTGCCTCAGTCCACAAGTAGCTGGGACTAGAGGCACACAACACCAATCCTGGCTTTTTTGTTTGTTTGTTTTATATTTTTTGCAGAGACAGGGTTTCACCATGTTGCTCATGCTAGTCCCAAATGCCTGAGCTCAAGAGATCCACTTGGCTTGGCCTCCCAAAGTGCTAAGATTATGGGTGTGAGCCATCACACTCAGCCAACAGCCCACTTTAAAGAGTGGATAGATCATGCAGACAAAAAAATCAGCAAACTAACACTATACTTAAACTTCAGTATAGATAAAATAAACCTAACAGACACTTGCAGAACATTTCATCCAACAGTTGCAGAATACACATCTTATTCAACTGCATATGGATCATTCTGCAGGATAGAGTACATGGTAGCCCACAAAAGAAGTCTGAAAATTTTAAGATAGGCATTATATTAAGTGTATTTTCTGACCACAATGGTATAAAACAGTATCAATGACAAGAAAAACTTCAGAAATTTTACAAATAAATGGAAATGAAACAACATGATTCTAAACAACTCATGGGTCAATGAAGAAATGTAAAGGAAATTATAAATTTCCTTGAGACAAATGAGAATGAAGCTATACCATACCAAAACGTATGGAACAAAGCAAAAGCAGTCTAAGAGAGATGTTTATAGCAATAAATGCCTACATCAAAAAAGAAGAAAGATTTCTAATAAACAACCTAAAGATGTAACTCAAGAAACTAGAAGAACAAAAATTAACTAAACCCAAAATTTGTAGAAGAAAGAAAAGTATAAAGCTCAGAGCCGAAATAAACAAAATACACACTAAAATAATGCAATTCGAAAGATCAATGGAATGAAGAGTTTGTTTGTTGAAAAGATAAACAAAATCAATAAACCTCGAGCTAGACTAATAAAAAATAAAAAAAGTCAAGTAAATAAATCAGGGATGTAAAAAGAGATATTACAATGGATACCACAAAAATACAAAGGACTATAAAAGCTATTATTGACAACTATACAAGAACAAATTTGATAATATAGAAAAAATGGAAAAATTTCTGGACACATTCCAACAACCAAGATTAAATTAAAAAATAGAAAACTTGAACAGACTAACAATCAGTAAGAAAATGAAATCACAGATAAAAAGGTTTCCATCAAAGAAAAGCCCAGAAGCTGATGGCTTCACTGAAGGATTTCATCAAAGATTTAAAGAACCAATACCAATTTTCCTCAAACTACTTCAGCAATTTAAAGATAAAAACATTTTTTCCAAAGTAATTTTATGAAGTCAACATTACCCTGATTCCCAAACCAAAGAAACACACACACACAAGAAAACTAAGGGCCAGTATCCCTACTGAATATAGATGCAAAAATTCTCAGGAGATACTAGCAAACTCAATTTAACAGTACATAAAAAATACTATCCATTATGATAATAGTGGGATTCATCCCGGAGATGCAAGGATGGTTTAACTTATGCAAATCAATAAATATGATATATTACATTAAAATAAAGAATGGCAATAAAACATGATTGTTTTAATAAACGCAGAAAATGAAATTAATAAAATTCACATCCTTTCAAAATTAAAAACTTTCAACAAATTAGGTATAGAATGTCTATACCTCAACACAATAAAGGTTGTATATGACAAATCCACAGCTAACATCATATCAAATGGAGGAGGGCAGGAAGATTTTCCTGCAAGGTTATGAACAAAACAAGGATGCTCATTTTCACCACTTCTAATCAATAAAATACTGGAAGTTCTAGCCAGTTAAAGTAAGCAAGAGAAAGAAATAAAAATCTTCCAAATTAGAAAGGAAGAGGTCAGATTTTCCCTGTTTGCGGAAAACATGATCTTAACTATACAAAGCCATAATAACTTCATGAACAAATTATTGGAACTAATAAATGCAGTAAAGTTGCAGAAAATAAAATCAACATAAAAAATCAGTAGCATTTTAATTCACAAATAGTGAACTATCTGAAAAAGAAATCAGAATAATAATTTAATTTACAATATCTAAAAAAAAAAACAAACCTAGAATTAAACTTAACTAAGGAGATGAAAGATCTCCACACTGAAAACTACCAAATTTTGATGAAAGAAAATAAAAAGGCCACAAATAAATGAAATGATATCGTGTGTTCATGGATTACAATAATTAAAGTTTTCAACATACTAATGCTTCCCAAAGCAACGTATACATTTAATGCTATCTCTGTTAAAATACCAATGATATTCTTTACATAAATAGAAAAAAATCCAAAAATTTATATGATACCACAAAATGTATCAAATATCTAAAGCAACTTTGAGCAAATAGAAAAAGATGGAGGAATCACACTACTTGACTTCACTACAAAGCATCACTAGCCCAAACACAGCATGGTTCAGGCATAAAAACAGACCCATAGGTCAATGGAGCAGAATAGATAGCTCAGAAGCAAATTTATCCACCTACAGCCAACTAAATTTTGGCAAAGATGCCAAGAACGCACATTGGGGAAACGACAATCTCTTCAATAAATGACACTGGGGAAATCTGATATCCACACGCAGAAGAATAAAACTGGACTGAGAGGTGACAACATGCTAGCAGCCCTGGCTCCCTCTTGGCGCCTCCTCGGCCTGGGCATCCACTCTGGCCACACTCCAGGAGCCCTTCAGCCTGCTGCTGTGCTGTTGGGGCCCTTCTCTGGTGCTGGCTGAGGCCAGAGCCGACTCCCTCTGCTCTAGGGGAGGTGTGGAGGGAGAAGCGCGGGCAGGAGCTGGGGCTGGGCACCGCGCTCAGGGGCCAGCACGTGTTCAGGGTGGGTGCTGGCTCAGCAGGCCCCGCACTTGGTGCAGCTGGCCAGCACCTGCTGGGCTTGATCAGAGGCTGGGTCCAGTGCATGGACCGCCATTCCCTCTTCGTGGGGTTGTTGGCCACGATGGCGGGTCTGTGTCTCTTTCTCACTTCCCCTCTTTTCCTCTTGGTTGTCTGGGACAAGCTCCCTCTGGGCTGCTGGAGTGCCGGGCTAGGTGCTGCAAAGTCCCCTGGCAAGTGCCAGTGAGAGATGAAGCCGGCTAGGCTTCTGGGAACCCTGGGGACTTGGAGAACTTTTCCGTCTAGCTAAAGGATTATAAATGCAACAATCAGCATGCTGTGTCTGGCTAAAGGTTTGTAAACACACCAATCAGCGCTCTGTGTCTAGCTAATTGGGTGGGGACTTGGAGAACTTTTGTGTCTAGCTAAAGGATTGTAGATGCACCAATCAGCACTCTGTCAAAACAGACCAATCAGCTCTCTGTAAAACTGACCAATCAGCTCTCTGTAAAATGGACCAATCAGCTTTCTGTAAAATGGACCAATCTGCAGGATGTGGGTGGGGCCAGATAAGGGAATAAAAGCAGGTTGCATGCACCGTCAGCAGGAACCTCCTCAGGTCCCCTTTCACACTGTGGAAGCTTTGTTCTTTTGCTCTTCACAATAAATCTTGCTGCTGCTCACTCTTTGGGTCCGTGCTGCCTTTATGAGCTGTAACACTCACCACGAAGGTCTACAGCTTCACTCCTGAAGGCAGGGAGACCACAAACCCACCAGAAGGAAGAAGCGCTGGACACATGTGAACATCTGAAGGAACAAACTCTGGACACATCACCATTAAGAACTGTAACACTCACCGCGAGGGTCCGTGGCTTCATTCTTGAAGTCAACGAGACCAAGAACCCATGAATTCTGGAAACAGGACCACTATCTTTTACCATACACAAAAATCAATGCCAAATGGATTAAAGACGTAAATGTAAAACTTGAAACTATGAAATTATTAGAAGAAAACATAGGGGAAATGCTTCAGGACATTTGACTGGACAAGTTTGTTTGTTTGTTTGAGATGGAGTCTTGCTTTTTCGTCCAGGCTAGAGTGCAGTGATGCAATGTCAGCTACAGGCACCTGCCACCACACCCCACTAATTTTTTTGTATTTTTAGTAGAGACGGTTTCACCGTGTTGGCCAGGATGGTCTCAATCTCCTGACCTCGTGGTCTGCCCGTCTCGGCCTCCCAAAGTGCTGGGATTACAGGAGTGAGCCACTGCACCTGGCCCTAGACAAGCATTTTTTTAAGAACTTAAAAGCACAGGAAACAAAAGCAAAAATCAACAAATGGGATTACATCAACATCAAATTAAAAAGCTTTTGCACAGCAAACTAAACTATTAACAGAATGAAGAGACAACCTAAAAATGGGAGAAAATATTTGCAACCATACATCTGACAAGGGGTTACTATCTAAAATATATCAGAGAATCAGACGACTTAATAGCAAAACAACAACAAACAAAAAATCAGATTTAAAAATAAAAACTTTAATAGACATTTCTGAAAAGAAGACGCACAAATGGCCACCAGGTATATAAAAAATGGTCAACATCACTAATCATCAGGGAAATGCAAATCAAAACCACAGTGATATATCACTATTCTAGTTAAAATGGCTATTATCAAAAAGACAAAAGAAAACAAGTGTTGGTGAGGCTGTGTAGAAAATCAAAAAGACAAAAGAAAACAAGTGTTGGTGAGCTGTTGGTAGGATTCTAAACTAGTATAGCCATTATGGAAAATTGTATAAAATCTCCTCAAAAAATTAAATATAGAACTACCATATGAACCAGCAATCCCATTCCTGGGTATACATCCAAAGAAAATAAAATAAGTTTGTCAAAAACATATATCAACCTCCATGTTCACTGCAGAACTATATACAATAGCCAAGATATGGAATTAAGCTAAGTATCAAACAATGACTAAGATACATACACACAATGGAATACCATTCAGCCATAAAAAGAATTAATTATTGTCATTTGTGCCAGGATGGATGAAACGGAAGGACATTATGTTAAACGAATTAAGGCAGACATAATAAGGTAAATACCACATGATTACACCCATATGTGGAACCTAATTTTTTTAAGTTGATATTATCAAAGCAGAAACTGAGGACTGAAGTGAGAAGAAGAGGATTGAGAGAGGTTGTTCAATGGGTTCAAGTTATAATTTAATAGCATAAAATATTCTGATGTTCTATTGCACAATAGACTGAATATAGTTAACAATAAAATATTGTATTTTTCAAAATTGTTAGAAGAGAGGATTTAAAATGTTTTCACCTTAAATAAATGATAAATGCCTGAGGTGATTGTTATACTAATTACCCTGGTTGTATTATTATCTAACATAAGTATGCATCAAAACATCAAATTGTATCTCGTAGATATATACAATTACAATGTGTCAATTAAAATAAACCAACACTAAAGATCGGAGTAAATGTGTCAGCTCTGGATATAGAACAACCTTTAAATTCATTTTATAAATATACTCTTCTGACAAATTTTGGAGGTTTTCAGTGCAAGAATCTGTAGCTACCAACAGAACCTCAATGAAAATAATTTAAATAGTTAATATTAAGAAGTTAAACTCAGCAGTGCTATCAAAATAGGCAGCTTATCTTCTCCAACACAGGGGATAACCATTCATCTGGTAGGCAATTGGCTTAAGTCTACCAATGCTGGATTGAAAGAACAAAACCTTAATAATAATATTGGGGAATATTTCCTTCCAATTCCTGTTGCTTCTTCTATGTGAAGGGACTTTTACTTATGTAACAAGGCTGCACTTTTTAAACCAATCTTCTAATCATAATATCTGAGAAGATAAGTAACTTAGCTGATTGTTATGTTTGAAAATAGATACTTTGCATACCAGTCTATACCATTTTCTCCCCTTTTTTTGGGAACAGACCTGCTTGTAGGAATCAAGACCTCTGCTCCTACAAGCTGAGAGTTTTATTAGAAAGCTACTCATTGGAAGAGTATTTTAGTAGTGAATAAGTCATTGCCTTATTAATTATTTTCTTCAATGCAAATAAGTCAAATCGGATCTAGGTCCAAGTCACATTCTTCAGTATCACTGTTAGTTTTCAGTTGGCTCAGAACTTGAGCACAGAAGTGGGTATTTATTGGGCCCTCTCAAAGTCTCTCCTTGTATCTTTTGTTAAATATTATTCTGTTAGAATGTGAAAAGTAAAAATGCAATGCAACAAAAACCTAATGGCAGAGTTCCAAAAAATTATAATAACAAGAAAATCTGTTTACAAAGATTTAAGCTTGAGAGTCAAATCTATTATCTCTTCAGTTTTGTGACTTTGAGCAGTTCACATAAACTCTACAAGTCTCCAATTTCATCACCTTTAACATAAAAATATAGTTATACTTTTTCACATTTTGGAGTTATTAAAATGAGATAAAGATTCTGAAAATATGTTTTGAGATTTTTAACAGTATAAAAACATAATTATATTGGGATTGGCATTGAGAGTTTGGGAATACAATATACCTAGCCAGAGGTAAATGAAATACAGAGTATTCATCAAAAACATTGATAATGAATGAATAGAGGGTACCAAATGAGAAAGGTAAACTCAGGTAAGCTGGAAGAGTAGCATAAATCTTAAGGAATAACTCTTAAATTGAACTTCAATCCTTGGTTTCATTATTTCTCTTCCCCACCAGACTATGAGCACAAAATGTCTTATTTATCTTTGTTTTCCCAGTGCCTGACACAGGGTAGGCCCTCAATAAATTTGGTTTAATTGAATTGACTGACTGAAGATAAACAATCAGGTTAATGAATGCATGCCAGATCCTCTTTACTTGCAGGTTATACCAAGTAGAGAAGCAATTATCAGACCAGAGATAAAGCCCAGCTACAAGAAGAGAGAAGAGTTTGTCCTGTGCTCCTTTGCTGCCTATAACCTGATTTTAATGCTATATTATATTTTAGACGTTGTGCTGGCTACTGAGGATACAGAAAATATTAAAAGATGTCTTTTGACTTTAAGAAGCTTAGATTCTTGTGGTTTAGAAACTGTATTAAATGCAATCTCTGAGATATGCATGAGAATAGCAATTTACTGAGCAGTTTCTCTGTGACAGACATTGCACATGGATATTTCAAGCATTATCACTTTAAATTCACACATCAAGTCCATGTGATTGTTTGTGAATGCTTTATAGATAAAGAACTGAAGCTTAGAGAAGTTATTTAATTTTTCCAGGATAGAAAGCTTTGAAAATGACTAAGCCAACATTTAAAATACATTTGCTGGACTCCAAACGTAGTGCTCCTTCCAGTGTTATGCAATGCCCCCCATAAAGAAATTATGAAGTGCCATGGGAAAGAGCAGATGAAAATGGGAAAATATAGAGTGATAAACTCAATGTTAGGAAAGGCTTTCATGATAAGATGTCTTCCTCCTCAAGAAGATGTGCATTTTAAAATAGCATTGTGGAGAAAAGTCAATAACTAGAGTTACTACCAATATATTTGAGGTAGAGGTTTCTTTGTGAGGGCTCTCAAATCATTACATGTGCACCCAGGCCCCAGCAGAGAACAGCCATCTGGGAGGCAATGGTCATGAAGAGCTTGGGGTGAAATCATACTTCCTTTGACAGTATTCTATGCCATAGAGTTGGCTCATATTTTTCCCCTGGGAAAGACTGTTGTTCAGAGAACATGTCACTGACAAACATTTATCTCTTTTTTAAAAAACAGTATTGTATTAGTCAGTGTTCTCTTAGAGGGACAGAACTAATAGAATAGATATCTACATGAAGGGGAGTTTTTTAGGAGAATTCACACACACAATCACAAGGTGAAGTCCCACAACAGGCCATCTGCAAGCTGAGGAACCAGGACGCCAGTCTGAGTTCCAAAACCTCAAAGTAGGGAAGCGGATAATGCAGCCTTCGGTCTGTGGCTGAAGCTCAAGATCCCCTGGCAAATCACTGGTGTAAGTCCCAACAGTCCAAAAGCCAAAGAACTTGGGGTCCAATGTTCAAAGGCAGGAGGCATCCAGCACGAGAGACATATATATGGACTCCAGAAGACTTAGCCAGTCTAGTCCTTTCACGTTCCTCTGCCTGCTTTTATCCTAGCCACACTGGCAGCTGATTAGATGGTGCCTACCCAGACTAAGGGTGGGTCTGCCTTTCCCAGTCCACTGACTCAAATTTAATCTCCTTGGCAGTATCCTCACACACACACCCAGGAACAATACTTTGCACACTTCCATCCAATCAAGTTGGCACTCAATATTAACTATTACAAATGTCTTTGCTACTGTGAATAGCACAACTATGAACATATGAGTGGATTTGTCTTTTTGTATAATAGTCTATTTTCCTTTGGGTATACACCCAGTAATGGGACTGCTAGGTTCAATGGCAGCTTTCCTTTAAGTTCCTAGGGAAATCTCCAAACTGTTTTTCACAGCGGCTGAACTAATTTACATTCCCACGGTATATAAGCAGTCCCTTTTCTTAGAAGCCTCACCAGCATCTGTTGTTTTTTGACTTTTTAATAATAGCTATTCTGACGGGGATAAGTTGTTATATAATTGTGGTTATGATTTGCATTTCTCTGATGATTAGTGATGTTAAGCATTTATTCATGTTTGTTGGACACTTTTATGTCTTATTTTGCAAAATGTCTGTCCATGTCCTTTGCCCATTTTTTAATGAGGTTGTTTTTTGCTTGTTGATTCGTTTCAGTTCCTTCTAGATTCTGGATATTAGATCATTGTCAAATGCATACTTAGAGAATATTTTCTTCCATTCTTTATGTTATCTATTTGCTCTGTTGAGGTTTTTTTTATGTACAGAGGCTCTTTAGTTTAATTAGGAGGCACTTGTCAATTTTTGGTTTTGTTGTCATTGCTTTTGGGGACTTTTTGGGGACAAAAATTCTTTGCCAAGGCTAATGTGAAGAAAAATATTTCCTAGGTTTTCTTCTGGGATTTTTATAGTTTGAGGTCTTACATTTAAATCTTTAATCTATCTCGAGTTAATTTTTGTATATGGTGAAAGGTAAGGGTCCAGTTTCATTCTTCTGCATATGGCTAGCCAGTACCATTTATTGAATAAGGAGTCTTTTCCTCATTGCTTGCTCTCATCAGCCTTGTCAAAGATCAGATGGTTTTAGGTTTGTGGTTTTATGTCTGAGTTTTCTATTCTGTTTCGTTGTTCTATGTGTCTGTTTTTATACCAGTATCATGCTGTTTTGGTTACTATAGCCTTATAGCTAGCTTGAAGTCAGGCAATGTGATGCCTCCACCTTTGTTCCTCTCTGAGTCTTAATATAGATAATTCCTCCCTGGACTTCCCATGGTTGTAGCTGTCCCATGAGGTAAAGAACTCATAGGTCAAAGGACCATGGCTACATTCTCATAACCTTCTAGACTTTTACAGGACCCAAGCATTCCCTGCCCAAGGAATCCACAGCCCACTTCCCCAAAGAAAGAAAGTTATCAAGCACATCACTATGCCAAAGAGGAGGCAGCTATTTGTGGAGTATGAAAACTTTGATTAATGGGCTGTGGTACCCATACAAATGCATCTGAAGCCCCTTGCAGTACGTGAAGAAAAAGAGAAGCAGCAGTAAAGCTGGGGGCTAAGTCCAAGCTATCTTTGTGTGACCTACAGAAGACTTTGAGAATTTTATTTATAAGTTTAGACGTTGAGTTATTTTGAATATATATCTGTAAAGTTGATACAAGGACATATTTTACTTATATTCTATTCTATATTAGGTGTATGTGTGTGTGTGTATGTATATATATATATTTGTACATTTGTTCCATACCATTCTACGAATGTTAGGGGCAGAACTGTTGGAAAATATTCTCTTCAATCCACTAAGGAAATACTGCTTTGAACTCCAGAATTTCAACTGATGGGCCATTTATTTTGAAATTTTAAATGCCTGAAGGAGAACTCTTTTTATTCTTCCCTCCCTCCAGGGCCTAAAATTTAAGTCTCTACCAGGGTAGAATCTCTGATAACTTAGGCTGTATCATTTTACTTTTATTTCACCTCTAAATTCCAAATTACTCTTTCCTTTGATTAATTTTTAATATGTTATTTACTCGAAAATTAAGTACAGTGTAATGGAGTTGCCAAGAAGTAGGCCAAGGAAATGAGTGAAGAGTAGATTTCCTGTTAGCAATTCTGCATGATATATAGCATGAAAAAGTAATCAATTTTGATTGGAGATATTGTCTCCAGGGAAGCTAGTAAAAAATGAGCTTTCTTTGCTCGTAGTTGCAATATTATTGAAGCTTCTGAAATTGGGGTCATCAAGGGTTGACAGTTATTCTTTGGGGGCTTCCTCCTCATTATATCTCTAACTCTACATATCTTTTCTAAATGCCTACTTGCTACATTGTTTCAAAAGATTTGAACCTGCCAAATAGAATATAAAGAAATATTTCCCCATTTCCCTCCTTGCATATCACAGGTAGGGATGTATCAAATCTGAACTCTTTATCATAGCAAAATTTGTGACTAATGGACAAAAGTTATCACTATTGGAGGTAAAAATATTTTATAAACATAAAATAATAAAATATAACAATAAAAATCACAAGAAAGATGAACTCAGGAGGATATTTGTTCTAGATGTCTGTCTTGCTAGTGATTATCCATTTAGGTAGGGTCTCCATATTTAATCTTGCACTTCTTTGTAGACTTGCACATCATCAACTTAATCGTATGTTATGCAAGAAGAAATTCCTTTTTTTGCTTCTATAGCAAAGTGTACCTTCCTACTTTATTTCTTAAGACCTTAGATACAAAACCTTGTCTGAAATATTAAAAGACCTAGCCTTAGTAGTATCTCTGATAATAGTGTATTTAGTATTCACTGAACACTCAGTATCCAATATTTAAAATCAGGTAGTCATATAACATTATCTTTTAAGGCCCTTCAAGGTAGAAATATTCGATACCAAGATATTTTTTTTCTTTCTAGATTAAGTAACATATCCTAAGATGAATGTATGCATACTTACACAAACCTTGAGGGTATACATTAAGGAAGCAGCTATTATATAACTTTAAAATGGGATCAGACAGTAAATTATTTACAGATTAGTTGGCTCATCATAGGCATAGCAAAAATTGGTATCAGATTTTTTATTTTTACTCTTTCCATTTTTTGCTATGCATCATATATCCTGACATATTTTACAAGTTTCTTAGTGACAATAAGTTATTTCCTTTACTGCTGAACCTCATAAAATAAAATTCAATAGATCATAACTTACATATTTGCTAATTGTCTGTTCCCCCAAGTTCATATGTTGAAAAGTAATCCTTTTTTTTTTTTTTTTTTTTTTTTTTTGTGATGGAGTCTCGCTCTGTCACCCAGGCTGGAGTGCGGTGGTGCGATCTCGGCTCACTGCAAGCTCCACCTCTCGGGTTCACACCATTCTCCTGCCTCAGCCTCCTGAGTAGCTGAGACTACAGGTCGCATCAGGCCTGCCATCACGCCTGGCTAATTTTTTGTATTTTTAGTAGAAAGGAGGTTTCACCGTGTTATCCAGGAATGTCTCGATCTCCTGACCTCGTGCTCGGCCGCTTTGGCCTCCCAAAGTGTTAGGATTACAGGCGTGAGCCACCATGCCCGGCTGGAAACTAATTCTTAATGTGATAGGATTAAGATGTAAGGCTTTGGTAGGTGATTAGGTCATGAGGGTCAAGCTGTCTTGAATGATATTAGTGCCCTTATAAAAGAAGCCCCAGAGAGCTGCCTTGACCCTTATATGTTAGGACATGAGAAGGAATCACCTACAAGAAACAGCACCCCTACTAGACATCAAATCTGCTGGTGCCTTGGCAGTTGACTTTTCAGCCTCCGGAACTATGAGAAATTAATTTCTTTTGCTTATAAACAACTCGGCTTATGGTATTTTCTTATTGCAGCCCATGTGGAACTAAGACAAGATTGATGTTTAATATGCTTAGAAATATTGCATCAAGATAGCTACTGAGCCTTGGCCCACTCCTTACTGTATCGTGAGACATCCTGCATAATTAAATCAGTCTAAAGACATGGTCCTAATATTATGAAAATGAAAATGTACTCTTACATTTGGGCTGGATGTGCAAAGAAAACACTTACCACATCATTAGATAAAAAACTAAAGTTTGGAGACTAACCAAGCCTATTCCCTACTAGAGTTCGGTATGAAAACTAATGATAAGCCATTGTTATCTTGTGGATCACTGTACTTTCCTTATTTTCGGCTCATTAAGGTCTTCTTGATTCTTTCCAACACCTAAATTTTGCCCTTTCATTTCTCAATTCTTTATGTTAGTCAGTCCACAATTGCCTTTCATTAAATTATCTTAAATACTTGTAATTATGCTCAATGTGAAACTCAAAGCCCTTAGTCTATATAAACCTATAATTCCATACTTCTTTATTATGTTACATTCATACAAGATTTCTTGATTATCATTTTAACTCTCAGGAAACATGAAATTTATTCATACCTTACAGCTTATACATTTAACTTTCCTATGCCTGGAGAGCCATTTAATATAAGTTTATGTCTGTATTCTTACTGTTGTTCAAAATTCAGCTTAAATATCCTCAATTATTATTACTTTTTTTTTTTTTTTTTTTTTTTTTTTTTTTTTGAGAGGGAGTCTCGTTCTGTCACCCATTCTGGAGTGCAGTGGTACAATCTTGGCTCACTGCAACCTCCGCCTCCTGGGTTCAAGCAATTCTCCTGGCCCAGCCTCCCGACTAGCTGTGTTTACAGGCATGTGCCACCACACCCAGCTAATTTTTGTATTTTATTACAGATGGGGTTTCATCCTGTTGGCCAGGCTGGTCTCAAACTCCTGACCTCAGGGGATCCACTGGCCTCGGCCTCCCAAAATGCTAGGATTACAAGCTTGAGCCACTCTGCCTGGCCAATATCCTCTCTTCAGTGAGTCATTCTTACATAACCTAATCCAAAGTATAGTAATTCTGTTTTGCTTCCATCACCATCAGCTCTATTGCATAATTCTGTTTTATATGGTTTATTTATTTATTTTTTTACTTGTGCCTTATGTCTCCTTCATCCCCTGTCTCTCAAGAATTTGAACATCCTGGCAGAAGAGACTTTTTCTCATTCATAGTTACATCTTCTGCATCTGGGAGAGCCTTCCAAATATTAAGTGCTCAATAAATATTTGTTGAATGAATGAAATAGGTTAAACACATATCTGCCCTCTTTCTTATACACACACACACACACACACACACACTTTCTTCTCCCATCCTGATTAAGAAGTAAATAGCACTCGAAGCTTACAACAAATCTTAATGCAGAACCAGAGGAAGGTGTGACTTCTAAAATTATCTTACCACTTTTATCACAAATGGCATTTATTTTGCCATGACTAAAGAAAGACATATTTTTTATGCTCTGTTTCTGTGCTGGGTCCAGTGGTGAATTTATACACACTACCTTAATCATATCTGCCTTAAGATAAAACTTGTATCTCAAGGACAAAATATGTGTGAATATCATACCAAGCATACTAAAAAGCATATAGCCATAGAATAAACAAAATAAATTTGTATTAAGAGTGAATGAAATCAAAGTTAATAAAAAAATTTCTGCAAGAAATGTGGTAAAGGGCTATTATAAAGATTAATTAATACCACTAACAAAATGAGAGGCAGAAGCTAAAACCCATAATTTACGAAATACTAAAGATGTCAAGGAGTTTTCAAAAATCTATCATCGGTGATAATGTCAAAAATATAGTTTAAAATGAAAAAAACTATCTTACTCAATTATAATGAATATGGAATGAATAAGATAGTATAGCATATTTATAAATTTGAAGGGGCTGTTTTCATTACATGTAGAAACAACAATATGATTTAGTATGCAAAGAGGGTCTGAAATAATTAAATGAATATGAATCTCTAAGAAATTAATTAACATTGGACAAAGCAACTAAGATTATGTCTGCATTTAGATAGGTGGAGATTAGTCTTTTTTCCAAAATAAATCATGCATTCAGTTTATTTTTTAAAAAAGAATGTTCATTCATTCATATTTAATGCAACCATTTACAAAAGAAATATTTTTCAAGAAGACACTATGTGACATAAACTGTAAAAATATTGAGACTACAGAAATATAAATAATTATGGTAGGAACCATGCCCATACGAATTTTCAACCATATAAAGGAAGTGAGGAAGCAAAGAAAAAATTAGAATTGTAATATAAAGCTAGAAAAAAATAATGGAAATGCCCACATTAGAGGTTCTGCCACATTATTACAGGAATTTAGATAATGAGTAATTAACAAAGTGATTTTGGTATAGAACATTTGAAGGATGAGATGTTAAGGGTCAGGTTAGGAGTCTGGGGGCAGAGTAGAGGTGCGATATTCAAGGAAAAATGGATTGGTTAAGCAATGTTCCAACATACCACATTTGCAGCATCCTTTAAAACAAAAACATTGTATGAGGCAATAATAAACAACACAATCACCATCACACTAAAACAATGTTCCACGTTGTCTTTAAAGGCATCCATGATCATCCTTGTGTTGAATTGGTGCTCCTTCGGGATCATATTGTTGTTTAGACTGAATCATTTACTGCCCTGACCTAGCTTCCTTATATACTCACCAGGCTGTTATTATTGATCTCACTAAGCAAGGTATTATGTTTGGTGGCAGTTTGGCATTAAATTTCTATCTCTGCCTTGTAGCAAATCACATCCTGCTCACTGAATGACCTTCTTCATGAAACAGTTTGTCTGATAGGCCTCATCATAATACCAAGTATTTATACTTATATAAAAATAGATTTTTAAAATGGGTCAAAATTTGACAATATATCTGTGAAAATTTTGTTGTTTACTGATGAAGAAACAGTATGCTAGACGTAATACTTCAGAGAAGGCCAGTTCATCTAAAATCAATAAGAAGCTGAGTGACTGAAGTTAACCTAGAGCATAAATAAGTTGAGTGTGGAAGTTTAGATGGCAATACAAAGGATCAGACTGTAAAGTTTCTTAAATGTCCCACTAAGAAAATTAAATTTTTTTATTAAACAATGAAAAAGATGATAAAATAGAGAAATCACTCTACCCAAACTGTGCTTTAGGAAAATTTTAATCCATGCGGCAAAGTATGCCTCATGGATTCAAAAGTATGGGGAGGTCAAAATTAGGGCAACTCGTTAGAATGTTGTCGTGAAAGCAACTATTACTAGCTTAAATACAAAAAATTGGAGAGAAAATAAAATGGAATGAATTGTCTATAAAAGTTACAGCAAATTCGATCCAACGTTATGTGGGATGTAGAAAATCTAATACATGCTAAATTTGGTAAAATTACCTATACTAATGAAGTGCAAGATAATATAACTTTTATTATTACAATACCAACATTGTAATTCTGTCTAAAGGTTGACTAGATTATAACCAAGTTTGAGAATATCAGTAAATTATAGCCATGATTTTTTTTTTTCTATTCTACACTCTTAGAGTAAGTTATCAGGTCCTCTGTGGCCTGGGGGCTGCTGAACGTGAAGACTGCTCTTGCATAACCTACTGTGGAATCCAGAAAACTATAAGCTAAAACTATAGCATTGTTTCCTCTCCTGGATGTGATTTAATGGTAATCAATGTCACTTACCAACTCATTAAAAAACCTTCTTCACAGCTCATCAAAAACGAAAAGAAAACCTGGGGGGTTGGAACTTTGCAGTCAATTAAAAAACAAAGGCACCCAGCATTTTTAAAAATATAATTTTAAAAGAGTACATAAAATAATAGCTAAACAGAAACCCTTGTTAGTAATTGAAAACTCTGCTTCGATTTGGCATCGAGTTTATAAAGAGGCTTGGGGCACGTATATAAGGCTGTTGTTCAAAGACAGAGTCTAAACCTAACAACCTAAACAACAAAAAGCACATTTTACCTTCTAAATTGCAAAAGCATCCTCTTCTTCTCTCATTCTTAGGGCATTTTTAGTTTGATTCTCTTCAAACTACTCTGCTACTTTTCAAGACCACAATATATTTACAATGACAACAAATCACAGCTATACTCAATACTAACGTTTACAGTATGAAAAATTTTTACTTGTTCTCATGAATTTTTGTTTTATCTAAGGATCTTACCACTCAAATTAGGGATGTTCACTAGAAATTTGAATAGATTTCTAAAGATATTTTCTCTATTTGGCTCTGTAGGAAATATCAGTTGTAAATGTGTATCTATAACTAAAAATATGTACATATTGTTCCTCTGAGGGCCACTTGTTTTTGCTCTAATTGCCAGAAAAAAAAATACATTTAAAAAATTAGAACTAGTTATTCGAGCAGCCTGTATTTAATTTTAAACAGTTGGAAGAGATTTCTATACAATCTATATTGTAACATAAATTAAAAAGTGACAACTTTTAAAAACATGCTAGTGTTCTCTTCTTTAAAAAGTGGTCTAGACTAAAAGCCTAATTTTTTTCTTGAGACATTCTATGAGACAGCTGAGAGTTACCACTTACAATCTTTAATGAAAGTGTGTTCAAATTTGCCAAGAAGGTAATTATAAGTTAATGCTCAAATACAAGAATCTAACATGCAATTATATCAACAAAATTACTATAGTAATTTCTTCCACATACCTACTTTAAAAAAAAAAAAGTGTTGGCTAGTAATAGAAGAAAAACTTACTAGTCAAAATTTTTTCCAGGACACTCAATCAATGCTAACTTGGAAACACTAGTTATTTTTTGTTTTGTTATTCTGGTAAAAAAAATAAAAAGTTTTCTGTGCATTCTGCCATTTCATTTGCTCTACAAATAAAGCAAAAAGATTTGCTCTACAAATAAAGCAAAAAGATTTGGTCCAGTGAAACTGACTAAAAAACTGCATCCTCTTTCAGTATAGGAAATAAATTATTTCTATTTCATCTCCAGTAGTTCTTCTTACTTGGAAGCCATAGGAAGTCTTCAGAAATCCATAACACAGAACAGCTGCATTATGTAGCTTTCAGACTGCTTTCTTTCACCCTTTTGAAAAAGTGTTTTTCTTTGGGAAAAAAAAAAGTTTGCAAAGACTCAGAGAAAAGAACTAAATTTTATTTAATTTTCTCACAAATCTCACAAAGGCTCCCTCTACTTAAAAGCATATTTCCAAAAAAATACAGTGTGTTCTACAGTAATATAAGTTAAAAAGGCAAATTGAGAAACAAACCCCCAAACTGTGAAAAAATAACTTGCCTGAATTAATCAAGTAATTTAAAACTATATTTTTTGTATTTGCTTTTATCAACAATAGATAACTATACTATTATTTTATTATATAATCATCAGATCACACTTCACCCTAATTAACTTTTCTATTTGACAGAGTTGTCACCAGTACATATGCCTCTTTCTGCACAGTCTTCAACAACTAAGATTGAAAAATTAAAGATCTGAAGGTTTTACCATACTGATTTTTTTACCATTGTTGATATATTTTATTATTTCTCATCATCAAGCTATTATCAGAAAAATGCAATTTACTAAATTATCATTTATTCTGTTTCCAATTTTATTGTCATTATGAGTAACCCTAGAGATGGCATTAGTGCTCATCAAAATTTATTTGTATTTTTAAATTTTTCTATTATCAGAGATTTCTGGAAGAGTTACTGGAACAATTGATTTAAATACATTGAGGCCCTCAAATCATTTTCCAGATAAGTTAATGAAATTACATCTTAGGAGTGGCTTCTCCTTGATCCCTTTTCAATTTTCAGAGTATTCTTTTTTTAATGGTGATAATCTAAGTAAAATGGCAGATTATCTTTTATTATGAAAATTACACACAAATATGGCAAGATATAAATATGCACATAGTACAAAAACGGTACATAGGATTACACAATACAAAGTGTTTCCTATCCACCCCACACCTCTAGTTTCACACTCCATGAATAACTATAATACAGAAAATGACTCTTCAATATTTGTGGTGAGCCCCAATATCTCTCCACCTTCCTTTTCCCCCACTCCTTGTCCCTTAGCTTATAGGCCAGCCATGGCCAAGGCAAGTAAAAAGTTTTATTCACTATTGCTGGCAACTAAAAACTCTGTGACACACCCAATATCAGATGTTTGAACATGTTTTCTCCTCTAGCACTCACAGCAACTCAATGAGGTGAATGTATTTATTCTTTTTTTTTTTTTTTTTTTTTTTGAGACGGAGTCTCGCTCTGTCGCCCAGGCCCGACTGCGGACTGCAGTGGCGCAATCTCGGCTCACTGCAAGCTCCGCTTCCCGGGTTCACGCCATTCTCCTGCCTCAGCCTCCCGAGTAGCTGGGACTACAGGCGCCCGCCACCGCGCCCGGCTAATTTTTTGTATTTTTAGTAGAGACGGGGTTTCACCTTGTTAGCCAGGATGGTCTCGATCTCCTGACCTCATGATCCACCCGCCTCGGCCTCCCAAAGTGCTGGGATTACAGGCGTGAGCCACCGCGCCCGGCCGAATGTATTTATTCTTATTCTACAGCAAGCCAATCATCAGCAACAACACAAAATTGCTTGTCCAGCATCCTATAGTTGGTAAATATAGAAGTTAAATTCATACATTTATCTCTCTGGCTCCTAAGGCCAATATAGCTAGGTGAAAAGTGAATGTATTCAGTTTTTAAACTCACTAATTCTTGACAATCAACTTGAATTTGCATTTATTTGGTGACATTCCTCTTGAATCTATTTAATTTTTAATAATAGCATTATTAATATATAATTTATTTACAATAAATTCACCCTTTTCATGATTTTTAGTATAGTCTCAGTTATACAACCCTACCCATTATCTAATTGTAAAACATTTTCATAACCCCAAAAAGAACTCCATACTAATTAGCAGCCACTTCTCATTTTTTCTTTCTTGCCAGCATCTGATAGCCATTAATCTGGTTTCTTTTTTTTTTCTCTATGGATTTGCCTATTCTGAACATTTCATATAAATAGAATAATAATATAGGTGGCTTTTTGTGTCTATCTTAACATAATATGTTTAAGTTCATTTTAAGTTTATAATAAAACCAATTTGAAAAAGGATCAAGCAACTATGGTGGAAAAATCAATTTTTAAATTGTTTTCCTCAGAAAGCTTCTTCTACATGGATCTTAGTTAATGAGAAGGGTTTGGGGTCTTTTCACCCAAAGCTTGGAAATCCCTTGGTTAAAAATATGCTCCGGTTGTCACTGGAGAACTTCTCGGGACCCTTTTTTTTTGGCACTGAATCTCGCTCTGTCACCCAGGCTGGAGAGCAGTGGCACGATCTCGGCTCACTGCAACCTCTGCCTCCCGGGTTCAAGCGATTCTCCTGCCTCAGCCTCCTGAGTAGCTGGGACTACAGGCACGCGCCCTCATGCCTAGCTAATTTTTGTATTTTTAGTAGAGACGGGGTTGCACCATGTTGGTCAGGCTGGTCTCGTACTCCTGACCTGGTGATACGCCGGCCTCGGCCTCCCAAAGTGCTGGGATTACAGGCGTGAGCCACCGCGACCGGCCTCAGGATCTTAATTATGCTCATGTGCAGTGTACATCTCCAAGAGAATGAGACTGTATGCATCATTTCCTAAATATATTTGATTACAGAGATCCTTTTCTTTGACGAAGAATCCAGTGATACAAGGGACAGGTGAAATAAACTTTTGAATAGAATGAAATAGCAGAAAGGACATTGTCTTCAGTAAGACCGTCCTGGGATGATTAACTATTTCTCTACTTATTAGTTATGAGACTTTAGGCAAATTGTTAAAACTTTGAGATAGTCTTTTATCACCTGGAAAATATAAATATAAATCCCATTAAATAAAAGAAATACAGAATCTAATGTGATAATTTATGTAAAATCATGCAATATAATGTTCACTACAGAGTTAAAATCTACTCTATTTTGTAGATTCTGAAGTTAAATCAGTATGTCACAGAAATGGCAAATCATTTCAATCCAAAAATTGAGTAATTAGATAAAAGAAAAGTTATGAAATCTTAATTTTTAGTGTCTAATTTACTTAGACTTTCTGGTTTTAGAAAATGTGAGTACACTAACTACAAGATCCATTTCTGCAACATCAACCATCTGTAACCCGAACAAAAATGTTGATATAAAAAGGAAGTCGCTTAATATGGCTGTCCCAATAATTGGGTATATTGTTCCATTAGAGGGGACAGTGCTGTATTTAGAGACAACAATTGAAAGAGTGCTAAAAACATTTTCTACAAATGTAATCAACATTGCACTTCACATATGTTCTCATTAGTCGTGTGATATTGGAGTTAGACATTTTTATATTTTGTTTCTGATATATCATTTTTTATTGTGGTAAGAACACATAATATGGTATCTACCCTTTTCACAAATTGTCAAGTGTATAGTACAATATTGTTAACTATAAGCACAGTACAGCTTGTACAGCGGATCTCCAAACTTACTCATTTCGCATGACTGAAACTTTTTTTCTATTGAACAGTTACTTCACATTTCCCCTGCCCTCAGCCCCTGATAACCTCCATTCTACTTTCTGCTTATATGAGTTTGCCAATTTTAGATACCCCACAGAAAGAAGAATCATTAGCATAATGTTTTTAAGGTTCATCCATGTATTGCATATGGCAGGACTTCCTTTTCTGTGATTGAATAATATTCCATTGTATGCATATATCTCATATTCCTTATATATTCATTTATTGATGGACATTTAAATTGTTTTCTCATCTAGGCTACTGTGAATAATGCTGCAATAAACATGAGGGTAAAAATATAATTTTGAGATCTTGTTTTAATTATTTTTGATACTCAGAGGTGGAATTGCTGGATTATAGCGCAATTCTATTTTTAGTTTTTTGAGGAACCTTCCATACTGCTAAAAATTCTTATTTCACAGTTCTCTATCCATTTTACAGAAACTATTGATGATAAGCGATTAGAAGAACCAGGATGTTTGTAGGTGCTATTCATATTAAGTTTTTAAAAAGGTAAATGAGACAAAATTAGTAGCTTCATTGTGGTACCATCAACCATACACACTTTGGAATTTTTAAGGTGAGGAATTATAATTTTAATTTGAATAATTTTCAGTTGACAGTTTACATAGTCTTCATGCTTAGAGCACAAGGGCAAAAAATTATAAAAAATTAATTCATGTCATATTACCAGAGAAATAAAGCTACTACAATTTCTAAATAGTAAAAACAAACTCAACTCATCTAAGTTCAGGAAAGACTAAAAAAAGAACATATTTACTAAGAGCTATATTTTTAACAAGCGAATAAAAATATTTTATTTGGCAATTATGAATTTGTTAAATATATTATTAGTGTTCAGACTGTAACATTTTATGATTTCATCTAAATATGCATATATTTAAGAGCCAGATGGATTCTGCTACTGCCAGGATTGCAAAATGTTATCTCAAGCAGAAGCACTCTATAATAACTAGATTAATCATTAGTTGCTTTGGTGTTCATCAAAATGTCATTAATCCTTCTAAATTAAATTATTATTAATATACATGAAATATTTATAAAGAAAAAAATGTTTGCAATTATTGCCTTTATTGCTGTTCTGTTCATTTAGGTGTCATTTTTCAGAGAGGAATGTAACACTGTTTCCAGATCGTAGAACCGGCACACTATATCAGAGGACAAGTTGTTTATTTTAATTCATGCCACTTTTTTCTGCAAACTAAGTTACCTCTAAAAGATTGTGCTTCTGTTCTTTGTCTCACAAAGCCTTAAATTTCATCTTTATTCCAAGTGTCACTTCTTTGGATTTGCAAAGGAGTCAGATCCCATGATATCAAATGACAGCAAGGCATAACACTGTGCTTATACATGTTTTTATCCATTTTTTGCTATTTTAATGTATTGCATTTTTAATTTGTTAAAATTGAAGCATTACATGCACACAGAAAAGTTCACAAATTTAAGTCCATAGATATAAATTACCACAGACCTGAACACACTCTTGTAAATACCATGTAAGCCAAGAAATAAACCACTACCAACACCACACAAGACAAAAAAACCTCCTCCTAAACACTATCGTGTTTTTGCCCCAAATAAAACACACTACTGATTTCTAACACAATATACTAGCTTTATTTATGTAAATTAAATTATAAGGTATGTTCTTTTTAAAGAAACCCAAATATTTTGATTATTATGTTTATTGTTGTTCAGTATTACCTTGTATGAATATGTGATCAATTTCATCATGCTACTCTTAAATATATCTTGAAATTGCTTTCAACAGAGGCTATGGCCATGGCTATGCATGTCTTTTGTTCACAGGTGTATTCATTTCTTCTGGAATATACCTGAGTATGTTCAAATTTAGTCAATAATGCTAATGGTTTTTCAAAAGGAGTTGTACCAATAAACCTATTCACAGCAGTGAATGAAAATTTCTGTTGCTCCATGTCTTAATCAACACATAACATTTTTAGTCCTTTAAATATTAAACATTCTCATAGTTAAACAATAGTATCTTATTGCAACTTAAATTTTCATTTGACAGATAATGAAACAGAACAATTTTTCATGTATTTACTTAATAACTTAGTATTCTTGTTTGTGAACTACCATTCTACTTGCTCCACCAGTTTTTTTTTAATTATTGTCATTTTTCAACTGTTTTGCAATATTTTCTTTTTACATTCTGGATACAAGCCCAATGCTAGCTATTTATGAAAACAATGATAATCTTTTTAGAAAATTGCTTTAGGTCAATTAGATATTGCCAGTGAAAAAATCAGGTTTTACCCATAAATCATGAACTATACAAATAATAGCAAGTAGGTAGATCACAATACAAATAAGTGTAGAAAATTTAAAAATACGGTTTTTAAAAAATAATAATAGTGTAAATATCCTTGGATTTAAAATATTAAAAATGTATTAAATTTCAAATTTCTGAATTTAAAAGAAAAAATTATTTCCAAAGAATTTATTTATTTAAAATGTATTTAAGTTTCTGATTTTTAAATATTAAAATTTCAAATTTCTGGTAATTAAAAGGCATAAGATACAGATATTTCTTGCTTTTTCAGCTGAAAGGGCACAGAAGCAACAGCATCCCAGTAGTAATGACGACAACAAGTGCCAAATCTTGGTTTCCAGTAAAAGAAAACATGGTTCCTCAGAGAAATAGCTGATTGTAGGGCTGGAATAGAGAATATATAAAACAAGCCTGGGCATCTTTTAGTGCCAGAAAGTAAGAAAATACTTGAAAAACAGAAACAAGCCAACAAAAATACCTAACTATGGGTATGTCAAAAGGTCACAGGAGCTAAATGAAGGAATTCCTAATCACCAAACCTGAGACAATTTGAACAACAAAATAAATAACAAGTTTAAAATTAATATCCACAAGTCCATTGTATTAGTCCGTTTTCACACTGCTGACAGAGACATACCTGCGACTGGGAAGAAAAAGAGGTTTAATGGACATACAGTTCCACATGGCTGGGATGGCCTCATGGTCATGGCGGAAGGCAAGGAGAAGCAAGTCATGTCTTAAATGGATGGTAGCAGGCAAAAAGAGAGAGCTTGTGCAGGGAAACTCCCATTTTTAAAACCATCATATCTCAAGAGACTTATTCACTATCACAAGAAAAGCATGCAAAAGACCCACTCCCATGATTCATTTATCTCCCACTGGGTCCCTCCCACAACAAGTGGGAATTACAGGAGCAACAAGATGAGATTTTGGGTAGGAACACATAGCCAAGCTATATCATTCCACCCCTGGCCACTTCCAAATCTCATGTCTTCACATTTCAAAAAACCAATCATGCCTTCCCAACAGTCCCCTAAAGTCTTAACTCATTTCAGCATTAACTCTAAAGTCCACAGTCCAGTCTCATCTGAGACAAGGCAAGTCCCTTCCATCTATGAGCTTGTAAAACCAAAAGCAAGTTAGTTACTTCCTAGATACCATGGGGGTACAGGAATTAGGTAAATACAGCCATTCTGAATCGGAGAACTTGGCCAAAAAGAGGAGCTACAGACCCGATGCAAGTCTGAAATACAACAGGGCAGTGAAATCTGAAAGCTCCAAAATTATCTTCTTTGATTCCTGTCTCACATCTGGGTCACACTGATGCAAAAGGTGGGTCCCCATGGTCTTGGGCTGCTCCACCACTGTGGCTTTGTGAGATATAGCCTCCCTTATGGCTGTTTTCGTAGGCTGGCATTGAGTGTCTGCAGCTTTTCCAGGAGCATGGTGCAAGATGTCGGTGGATCTACCACTCTGGGTCTGCAGCTCTTCTCACAGCTCCACTAGGCAATGCCCCAGTAGGTACTCTGTCTGGGGACTCTGACCCCACATTTCCCTTCTGCACTGCCCTAGCAGAGATTCTCCATTAGAACCCTGCCCCTGCAGCAAACATTGGTCTGGACATCCAGGCATTTTCATATAGCCTCTGAAATCCAGGCAGAGGTTCCCAAACCTCAATTCTTGACTACTGTCTACCCACAGACTCAACACCACATGGAAGCTCCAAGACTTGTGGATTGCACCCTCTGAAGTCATGACCCAAGCTCTACGTTGGTCCCTTTCAGCCATGGCTGGAGCAGCTGGGACACATGGTACCAAATCCCTAGGCTGCACACAGCATGGGGACCCCAGACCTGGCCCACAAAACCATCTTTTGCCCCAGACCTCAGGGCCTGTGATGGGAGGCGCTGCTGGGAAGACCTCTGACATGTGCTGGAGACATTTTCCCCATTGTCTTGGGGTTTAACTTTCAGCTTCTTGTTACTTATGCAAATTTCTGCAAACTGCTTGGATTTCTCCTCAGAAAATGGGATTTTCTTTTCTATTGCATTGTCAGGCTGAAAATTTTCTGAACTTTTGGGCTCTACTTCCCTTATAAAACTGAATGCCTTTAACACCACCCAAGTCACCTCTTGAATGCTTTCCTGCTTAGAAATTTCTTCTGCCAGATACCCTAAATCATCTCCCGCAAGTTCAAAGTTCCACAATTCTCTAGGGCAGGGGCAAAATGCTGCCAGTCTCTTTGTTAAAGCATAACAAGAGTCACTTATGCTCCAGTTCCCAACAAGTTCCTCATCTCCATCTGAGACCACCTCAGCCTGGACTTTATTGTCCATGTGGCTATCAGCATTTTGAGCAAAGCCATTCAACAATTCTCTAGAAAGTTTCCAATATTCCCACATTTTCCTGTCTCCTTCTGAATCCTCCAAACTGTTCCAACCCCTGCCTGTTTCCCAGTTCGAAAGTAGCTTCCACATTTTCAGTTATCGACAGCAGCACCCCACTCTTGGTACCAACTTACTGTATTAGTCCATTTTCATGCTGCTGATGAAGACATAACTGAGACTGGGAAGAAAAAGAGGTTTAATGGACTTACAGTTCCACGTGGCTGGGGAGGCCTCAAAATCATGGCAGAAGGCAAAGAGGAGCAAGTCATGTCTTACTTGGATGGTAGCAGGCAAAAATAGAGAGCTCGTGCAGGGAAACTCCCATTTTTAAAACCATCAGATCTCATGAAACTTATTCACTATCATGAGAACAACATGGGAAAGACCTGTCCCCATAATTCAGTTATCTTCCACCTGGTTCCTCCCACCACATGTGGGAATTATGGGAGCGATGAGATGAGATGTGGGTGGGGATACAGAGCCAAACCATATCATTTATACTGACAGAAATAAATGATTAAATGCATAAGTAAAAAAATGGGGTTTGCTATGAAACACATGTTCTGTGCAGAAAAATACCAAAAATTTGTGCAATTAATTTTTTGTCAATGAGGTCAGGGGCAATTCTCATTTCCTTAAGTGAGGGGTACTTATAGTGACTTCCTTCTAAAGACTACAGTATTAAAAGAGAAGAAAAATGAGTAACATTACAGTGGAGAAACCTAATAAACACTACATGAGCCAAATCATAAGTGTAGATATAGTTTGTATATTTGTCCCCACCCGAATCATGTTGAATTGTGATACACAGTATTTTTATATCAGGTAATTAAGTTTGGAAGGGTGAAACTGGCAAGTGATGAAGTTAAAAATCAGTTAAAATTGCATGCATAATCTCCACTATGCCATCTCATCGTACTAGTAACAGGGCATCTTTGTAATAACTCTTGTTTGAAATAATGAGTAGGCTAATTTTTGGCCATGGAAATGGGAAAATTCTGTAATTAGAGAATCAAATTCCAGAAAGGATCTATAGAATTTAATGAAAGACTACAACAGAAAGTGAATTCAGAGAAGGTAAGACTATTGAGGAAATTTGGCAGCTGGCCCTGGAAGACTTGGGTCTTGTTTATTATAAAGATACCTGGGATTATATATTATTGCTCCTTGTTATTTTAGTTGGGTTACTAATTTGAGAAGTCTGTGCAATTTATCTCCTATTTGTAATTCAACTGCCAGTGATTTGATGCTGAAAAGCCCTGCTATACTACTCCCTAATCCAATGAAAGATGAGAAATACATTGATAACAATTGCCAGATTATTGTTTCTGTTGCTCTTGTTGTTATTTTCATTTTTTCTTCTCAGACTCCAGCTGTCCCTAGGTCCATCTGTTTTTATTGCATTTACCATATACTGTGCAGCACGAAGCTTACTGAAATCACATTCATAGAAATCTGCAGGTGAAATTTTGACATACTCGGCACCTGCAAACACTTGGAAAATTTGCCAAGAGGCATTTTCAGCCATTTGGGAATGAATAAAAAACAATTAGTAAATAACATAAACCTTAATATTGTTATTGTTATTATTCTTTCAAAACCAATGTCTTCCAGTTTATCTCCTAGAGGACCAAACCTAAGCCAAGTTTGAATTAAAAATAAAATAGTAACTCACTTTGGGTTCTCTAAACACATTAAAGCACTGGAAATTCTCTTAGCTGCTTGCAAAAAAATTCTCCATTCCTCTTAATGGTCAGATAATTAAAATTGGCAAAATACACTTCTACTAAGCTCTTGGAAAGAAAAAATTACCTGTGGGAAAACAATATAAGAGATTTCCATTTGAAATGTTTCCCCACATAAAGTTCATTCTTCTTTTAATACCTTCATTAACTAGCATCAATAAGCATTTGTCTGAATCACTTGTTAAGAAATGAGAACTTTCCAAACAGCAAAATTAAGTGAAAATTCTAATTTCCCATCCAATTTACTTTTAATTAATCACCATTCATTTTAGTGTTTGTACTCATTCTTTCATACCCAGTGCCATGGCTGGCCTTTAAAATTGTACATAACTCAAGAAATGTAAAGCTATTACTCCTTCAGCAATCAAACATTTGATTGATATTTTTCTTTCATTTATTTTGTCTGTAGTATCTATATATATTGAAGCAAAAAGGTAGATGGAAAGGCATTTTGATTGATCAAGCATTTTGATTGATCTAACATATCAGGAAATACCTTGGAGTTGGCATTTAGCCCCTCATGGGTGAACTAAAATCATGTTAAGAAAATAAGAATCCATCAAAGTTTTCCTTATTCTAATTTGAATTACTTTTATAATAGAAAACAATAAATTCTTTTACATAAATATTTCTTTATATCAATAAGATTGTCAATAAGCAGCCACAAAAACATAATTTCAGACCCCCTTGGAATGAGAAACCCTATATATCAGGCACCTTTACATATATTATTTTATCAAATCCTATAAAAGTATCCAGAAGTTGAAATTATGAAGTATATTTTATATAACAGAGCCTCTTACTATCATGTGCTTACTACATAGAGTATTAAAAATTCTAAGTGACTTACACATATTATTCATTTAAGATGCTTAATTATCCAGGAAAAATATACCATTTTAATCTACATTTTATAAATGAAGTCACTGAGACATAGAGGGGTTTTGCAATTTGGCCAAAATCACATACTCAGTAAGTGGCAGAATAATATTTGAAACTAGAAAGTCATGAAAAGCATTTCCCTACTTTACCAAAAACAATGGCACGCAGGTCCCTTGTACATTAGTTAGTCAAAGTTACATAGGATTGACTAGATGGGATTTTTAAAAGCCAAGTTAATTATTACCAAGTGGTTTCATTCAAATGCATACTGGAAAACCACAATATTATTAGTACAAAATGGCAGAGGGACTGCAGCATTGCTTAATCCAGAAAGATTTACACCAAAATACTTCAGAATAATTTCCAATTTTTTAAAGATAATCCAAAATCTAGCATATAACCTAGATATAATTCAAAATATAATATAACAGAAAGGGCTCCAAACTGAAAATTGAAGTATAGAATCCTCTAGTAGTTTCCCATTAGAGCAATTTTTAATATTAAAATATCCACTCTTCAGTTATTTTCTTGAACTCTAAGGAAGTTTAGATCAAAAGTGGAGGTATTCAATGAAAAATGTCCATTAGTTTATAAAAGATAAACAGCTGGGCTTGATAAATATGAACACTTATTTTCATTTTATCCCCTTATAATGAGGTAAATGTATTATTTTTTAATTTAATTCATTTTATTGTGTTTTCAAATGTCACATACAAAAAGACATTCAACATATTAGTCATTAAGAAAATAAAATTAATGCCACAATTAGATATTATTCCACCCCCAACCCTGCACTAGCATGGCTAAAATTTAAAAGATTGATCATAACATGCATTGGCCAGGGCACAGAGACATTAGAACCCTCATGCGCTGTGGGTAGGAATTTAAAATAATAGTATGACTTTGGAAACAGTTTGTTGGTTTATTTTTTTTAAAAAAGTAAACCTAGAATACAAACCAAACATTTATAGTCCCAGATAACACATAAAAAGAAAATTGAGGCATATGCCTACTCTATTAGCTTGCTAGGCTGCTATAGCAAGATACCACAGACTGGGTGGTCTAAACCACAGAAGTTTATCGTCCCACAATTCTGGAAGCTAGAAGTCTGAGATTATGGTGTCAGCAAGACTGGTTTCTTCTAAATCCTCTTTTCTTTGCTTGCAGATGGCCATCTTCCTCCTGTGTCTTCACATGGTCGTCCCTTAGCAAGTGTCCAAATTTCCTCTTTTTTTAAGAATACCAGTCATATTGGCATAGGGCCCACCTAAATGACCTTATTTTAATTGCCTCTTTAAAGACTCTATCACCAAATACAGTTACATTCTGAGATGTTGGAGATTAGGACTTTATATATAAACTTTGTTGATACTCATTTCAGCCCATAACAGTCACGCAAAGATTTGTCCACAAATGTATGTAGCAATTTCATTTGTAATACCCACAAAGTGGAACAACTCAAATGCCCATCAACCGGAAAATATATAAACAAATTGTGTCATATCCTTATAATGCACTACTATGCAGCAATAAAATCAATGACATCTTGTCATTTGCGACAACATGGATGAAACTAAAGGACATAAGTGAAATAAGCCAGGCACAGAAAGACCAACTTTGCATGTTCTCACTTATTTGTGGAAGCTAAAAATTAAAACAATTGAACTAATGGAGATAAGAGAATAGAATGATGATTACCAGAGACTGGGAAAGGTAATGGAGGTTAGGGGAAAGGGGCATGGTTAATGGGCACAAAAATATAGTTAGATAAAATGAATAAAATCTAGTATTTGATAGTAATTGTACATTGCAAAGTAACTAAAAGAGTACAGTTGGATTGTTTGCAATGCAAAGAAAGGATAAGTCCTTGAAGTGATGGAAATAAAATTAAAAATGTTAACTAAGAAGTTTTTTTTTTTTTTTTTTTGAGACGGAGCCTCGCTCTGTTACCCCGGCTTGAGTGCAGTGGCGCTATCTTGACTCACTGCCAGCTCCGCCTCCTGGGTTCACACCATTCTCCTGCCTCAGCCTCCCGAATAGCTGAGACTGCAGGCACCTGCCACCACACGCAGCTAATTTTTTGTATTTTTAGTAGAGATGGGGTTTCACCATGTTAGCCAGGATGGTCTTGATCTCCTGACCTCATGATCTGCCTGCCTCAGCCTCCCAAAGTGCTGGGATTACAGGCATGAGCCACCGCGCCCGGCCAGAAACATTTTTAATGCAGAAAAACATAGATACATTGCAAATGATTATGCTACATGAAATAAATCAAGTCAAAAAGAGTACTTACTGTATGTTTTTCTGAAAAAAATATAGACAATGCAAACTAATCTAAAGTAGTAGAAAGCAAATCTATGATAACCTGGGATTGGGACATGGAAGTGAGTAAAGAAAATATTGCAGAGGCATGAGGAAGCATTTAAGCATGATAGAAATGTGTATTATCTTGATTGTGCTGATGGTTTTACAGATATCTACATTTTTTAAAAAATCATCATATTCTATACTTTAAATCCTTTCATATATTATGTCAGTTAAAATTCCATAAAACTGTGAACATTTAAAAAATTAGGTTCAATAATAATAGTCATGACCATAGAAAACTTTGGACATATGGGCAAAAGCCATATGGAGAGGGGTTGCATGACAAATTTGGCCCAATGGTATTCAGTGTCAAGTATCAGACAGTTGTTATTATGTATTACTCTTATGAAAGAATATTTTTGTGTGAAGTCATCTTTTATTTCAGAAATCAAACTTCTCTATTTTTCAGAACTTGGACATTTTTTTTTATATATCTTACTCTCTTAGGCCTATAACACATATTTATCCTTTAAAAGCCAACTCAAATATTTTTTCCTTTGTGAAGATCTGCCTTAACTATTCTTCACAGCACCCGTTTTCTATGGTTGTCATTACAAATTACTACAAAATTGGTGCCTTAAAACAACAGAAATTTATTCTCTCATTGCCTGGAAACTAGAAATCTGAGGGCAAAGTGTTGGGAGGGTCATGCCCACTCTAAAGGCTCTGGAGAAGACATTCCCCTTGCCTCTTACAGCTTCTACTAGTCTCAGGCATGCCTTAGCTTGAGGAAGCATAACTACAGCCTCTGCCTCTACCTTCACAAGGTATCTTCTTCCTGTGTCTCTGTGTTCAAATTTTCCTCTTTTTACAAAAGCACCAGTATGACCTAATATTAATTTAACTAATTAAATATTTAAAGACTCTATTTCCAAATAAGGTCACATTCTCAGGTTCTGGATGGACATGAATTTTGTTGTTGTTGTTGTTGTTGTTGGGGCTGTCGGGGAGCAGATACTATTCAGCCCCATAGAGCCCACCCTCTTGCCACCAAAATTTATGTCTATCCCAATGAAAACTACATTTACCACATTTCAACTATCCAAAAAGTTTTAATTCATTTGAGCATAACCCCTAAATTTAAAATCTCATATAAAATCAACTATAAACGTTTCAAATTTCATTATCTAAATCATCAAATAATTATGAATAAAACTCTGGGTATTATCCATTATGGGGCAAAATTTCCCTCTGTCTGTGGGCCTGTGAAAGTAGAAAACAAATTATCTGATTCTAATGTACATAGGACAGATATAGGATAAAGATTTTCATTCTGAAAGGGAGAAAATGGGAAGGGTAAAGGGTAAAGGGTCACTGGTCTAAAGCAAATTTGGAATCCAGTAGGGTAAATTCCACTAGGATGCAAGGCCCGAGAATATTTCCCTGTGGCTCAGTCAACCCCTGGGCTCAAGGAGGCCCCATTAGTTCCTCTTCTGGGTCTGCAGAAGCCCCATGAGCCCCTGCCATGTACCTGTCTGGCTGGCATTTTCTGTCTGCCTCGTTTCTCTCTCCTAATTTTTCCTTTTTGTTGATGGATATGCAAACATAAGTACTTGAGTAGTACTATCAGTCCATTTCCTGCTTGTATCCCAGAAATTAAACAGCTGTCCTTCATTTCACCCCATGTATCTACCCTTCAGTCCATGTTGGCAGTGTTTCTGCTAATATAATATTTTTAAAGACTTTGTTAGTCTCCCAAATATATGAAGGAGACCTATGACATTGCACAAGAAGGTTCTCTACAGATTCTTCTTGGATAACCCGTTTCTATTCCCGGTTTCTGCTGAGATGGGAGATTGGATTCACGTGTCACACACCATCTCTTCAGCGAAAAAGTTTGTTCTCAGCCATACCCTTGGATGTATTCCTGTAACATAATATCTGGATATGTTGAGAATTTTCCAAATTATACAGTGCTGGTTCACTTTTACTTAAAAGTTCCAGTGTCTATTTATGTCTTTTCTCTCTTTTCTTTTTTTTTTTTTTTTTTGTTATTAGCTCAAGGAGAAACCAAGCCACATAATTTACAACTTGCCTAGAAATCTCCTCAGCTAAATATTTAAGTTCAGAGCTTACAAATTCTACTTTCCAACTCAATACTACAGCTCAATTCAGCCAAGTTTTCCACCACTTTATAGCAAGGGTTATCTTTCAGCCAGTGTCCAGTAACACGTTTCTTTTATTTTACTGAGACTATACCAGAAGCACCTTTAACATTGATATTTACACCAACATTCTGTTGATGATGTAAGCAATTATCTAAAACAAAAGAAGAGCTATCTAACATACTCCTTACTTCCTTCTGATCCCTCACTAGAATCACCTTTAACATCCATATTCCTATCAACAGTCTCCTAAAGGTAATGTGAGCTTTTCTGACAATGCACCTCAAAATTCTTTTAGCTCTCAAATCTTTACCCAATTTCGAATCCACTTCCACCTCTTTAAGTATTTGCTGCAGAAATATCTCTCTTTTGGTATTAAAATTTCTACTAGATTCCAAGGTCCACCATAAAAATTACAATAAACCAGGTGACTTAAAACAATAGAAATTAATTCTCTCATAGTTATACAGGCTAGACATCTGGAATCAAGTTGTCAGCAAGGCCATGCTCCCATTAAAGTCTCTAGGGAAGAACCCTTTCTTGCCTCTTCTAGTTTCTGGTGACCCCAAGCATTCCCTGGCTTAGAACAAAATAACTTATTTCTCTGGTCTCTATCTTCACAAGAACATTTCTCCATGCGTTTTTCTGTGTCTCTGCATCCAATTTTTTCTTTCATAAATAAGGACACACAGAAAAACGTCTTAAAGTGCTAATTAGACAATTACAAAAGTTCATACACACAATGAATTAGACTATGTAAAATATTCATGAAAGCTATGACTGAAAAGAAACTCACCAAATCAGCAACCATAGATAGTGATAATCTTTGGTTAATGAAATGTGATGTTTTTAAATTGCTTATTGAAAAATTTATTTCCAAAACTTTCACGATAAATATAATTTTATAAATACAGAAAACATTTTTGACATTATATAGAAGAGTTAACATATAAAAGGTCATCTAACATGTCAATCCAGTAAGCTGGATTTAGAGCTTACCCTAATCCAGTATTACCTCATCTTAACTAATTACATTCACAAACACCGTGTTTCCAAAACAATGTCATATTCTGAGGTTCCAGATAGACACGAATTTGGAGGGGGCTGCTATTCAACTCATTTCAAACACCAAGCAAGATCAGTTTCCCTCATTTGAATGTTTCATTAATACCCTGTATCAAATTCTACTATAGAATGCATCACATAATCTGCTAATTGTTTGTGTAGGTTTCTGCCTACTCTACTAAACAACAAGGACTACAAATAATAGATTTCATTTTTAAATTTCATACTTGTCACTGTACCCCCATTGTTTAAATACAGTATCCAAGACATAATCCAGTATATGATTATTTAACGATTTATAAAATAAATGAATATTACATAAACCCTGGAGCTAAAGTTTAATTGAACAAAATGGTTCACAGTCACCAATAAGATAATATTGAACACATTTTAGCATCAAAGCCCGTTAGCTTTTTACAAAAATAGTTTTAAAAACTGCCATAAAGCAAACACTAATATTGCATCTAAAGGTAATAAAATCACAGTTAAAAACAGACATCTAATTAATTCTTTGTCTTGTTATAATTAAAATGATTTTACTTATATCTATTGTTTTCTGTGGGAATAGAAGACCTCTTGGGCAAAACATTAAAGGCCAAAAAGAAAAAAAAACAGAGCTGCAATATTACCGATTTCTTAAACTACTTATGTTTTAAACAGTATAGATCTCCAATTTTATAAATTGCAGAGGTTTGATTTTTTATTATCTTATTTCTCTCTAAGTACTGTAGTAGGAAGAAGATTTTATGACATAGATCTTGTTCACTTATGTAGTTGCCAAACAGTAGGATTATTCACATAAAAAACTAAAATAAAAACAAAAGCAAAAAAACCTTTATAAAGAATATACAGATATTATCTTAAGACAACCATTATTTTAATGAGAAATGAGGATTTGAGTGTCAGTTCTTTTATTTACCAGTTTCTAGCATTGATTCTCCTATAAGATAATTTGTAATGTGAGTTTTTTAAGATTTTTTTTTGAAAGGCTAGTGAAAATAGTATATTTATCAATGATAAATACATACAAGTCAATGTATCCGCCCAAGTAGGAGTGTAGGGTCCTGCAATCAGATTGCATGCATTTTAGGCTTGTATCCCATACTTATTAGATCTAAAATCTTAGAAGATACATTCTCTAAATTCTAAACTTACGACAAAATGAAATCAGCACTTATAATACCTGTCACACAAAATATGCTATTTTTTATTTCCTTTTCTCTTCTTTTTTATTTCCCTCTCCTCGTGAGCAAATAGCCTTACTCAAACATTTTATTTATTTGTGATTAATAAGATTCTTAGCTGTTATGATCATTCTTGAGGGCAGAATTCATTTGAAATCAGAAAAGTGGTGGTTTCATGCTGAGCAAGCACTAAGATTATCAGCTATATATGGCTTTGTAATTAAATCATGGTTAATTCACCAGGTGGAATATTATGCATCCATTAAAATGTTTTTTAAAATATTGTAATCATACAGAAAAATGTTTTAAAGTGCTAATTAAATAATATAAAATTTCGTACACACAATGAATTAGACTATGTAAAATATTCATAAAAGCTATGACTGAAAAGAAACTCACCAAATCAGCAAACATGAATAGTGATAATCTTTAGTTAATGAAATTTTGCTTTTAAATTGCTCACTGAAAAATTTATATCCAAAACTTTCACAATAAATATGATTTTATAAATACAAAATACATTTTAGACATTAAATAAAAGAGTTACCAAATAACATAAAAGGTCATCCAGCATGTCAAATTAGGTAAACTTTAGTAAAGTTCAGGAAAATAATGTCAAATATCAGTAAAAATGAAAAATATTATTGATAGTTATTAGCATTATTTGTACATGTATTATACATAGAAATGTTCTAAGATATCTACATGTATTAATAGGTGATTGCAAACATAATTGTGGTTTTGCATTGTTGGAATTTGCCATTTGATATTGAAATACATTCTTAAATATGGTTATGTTATGCATCATTTTAATGGGCATTTCTCATTTTATGTTTTGGTTTTTGTTTGTTTTTTTTTTTTTTTTGCTAATGACATTATTTGCTATTTATTTTATGTTTATTTTAGACTATGGAAATGATGTTAGACAAAAAGCAAATTCAGCCAATTTTCTTATTCAAGTTCAAAATGGATCGTAAAGCATCAGAGACAACTTGTAGCATCCACAACACATTTGGCCCAGAAACTGCTAGTGAATGTACAGTGCAGTTGTGGATCAAGAAGTTTTGCAAAGGAGAAGAGAGTCTTGAAGATGAGGAGCATAGTGGCCGGCCATCGGAAGCTGACAAGGACCAACTGAGAGCAATCATCAAAGTGGATCCTCTGATAACTACATGAGAAGTTGCCAAAGAACTCAACATTGGCCATTCTATGGTTATTTTGCATTTGAAGCCAACTGGAAAGATGAAAAAGCTCAATAAGTGGGTGCCTCATGAGCTGAGTGAAAATTTAAAAAATCATTTTGAAGTGTCATCTTCTCTTATTCTACACAGCAACAACAAACAATTTCTTGATTGGATTGTGATGTGCAATAAAAATTGGATTTTATACAACAGCCAGCAATAACCAGCTCAGTGGTTGGACGAAGAAGTAGCTCCAAAGCACTTCCGAAAGCCAAACTTGGACCAAAAAATGGTCATATTCACTGTTTGGTGGTTTGCTGCTGGTCTGATCCACTATAGCTTTCTGAATCCCAGTGTAAAACATTGCATCAGCAAATTGATGAGATGCATTGAAAAGTGCAAGGCCTGCAGTCAGCATTGGTCGACAGAAATGGCCCAAGTCTCCACGACAATGACTGACCACGTCGCACAACCAACGCTTCAAAAGCTGAACCAATTGGGCTACAAAGTTTTGTCTCATCCGCCATATTCTCATCCACCTGACCTCTTGCCAACCGACTATCACTTCTTCAAACATCTTGACAACTTTTTGCAGGGAAAATGCTCCCACAATCAGCAGGATGCAGAAAATGCTTCCCAAGAGTTTTTTGAATGCCAAAGAGCAGATTTTTTATGCTACAGGAATAAACAAACTTATTTCTTGTTGGCAAAAATGTGTTGATTGTAATGGTTCCTATTTTGATTAATAAAGATGTGTTTGAACCTAGTTATAATGATTCAAAATTCAGTCTGAAACAGCAATTACTTTTGCACCAACCTAATAATTATGTCAATAATGGCAACAAACGTATGACATGTTACTATTGTTGCCCTCATTTAACATTTCAGGAGGATGAAGCAATTTATGGGTAAGAAAATTACCTACTTAGCAAGTACTGGCATCAAGATTCAAACCCAAGCAGTCCAATAAGTGAAACACATATAGAATAAAATCAGCAGTGTTTGTGCTTCATATAGTTCAGTTATCCCTAATAATTTGCTTTCACATTAATATAAAAACACAAATTAACTCATGGTATTTTAACTTTCAACCTTCAGAGCATTCGTCTGTTAAAGAAATGAAGGCTTGATCATACACATATACACATGTAGACACACACACACATACATACACAAGTATAACCATGATGATTAATTTTTATGATTTTCTAAATGTCCTTTGTGAATAATTTAACATAAATGGCTTATTTGCTCTATAGAAAAGACATGCATTTGTTAATTCAGACTGACTTCATTTATATAACTGCGATTTTAAGGGTCAACATTTGCCATATAGCTTGTAATAATGAAGGCATTCTGTACCTAAACATGGTAACTTGAAAAATGGAAGGACAAAATAAAAAGGTTCAAATATACTCAGCATCTATCCTAGACAACTTGAGTCTAGACATACAAGAATTATTATGTGAAGCCTACGGCTTCTTTCTTAATTTACCTAATGTGTTTTGCAAGGACGTTACATCACTATATTCTCAGACATTTCTCCTCCTCCATTCTAGACATGAATTCTTGCCAAAAAGTGGTGAAACAATCCAAAGTTTCCATTATTTTAAAGAATGCTTCAGTTTTAATTAAAGCTATTAATGCTGTATGAGTTTTCCTTTAATAAGTAATTCATAACCACCTAACCTTGAATCTTACTCAACACACAAACATACTCACACCCAATCGCCTCAACAATGCTTTAAGAAATGAGGGAATTTTGTATATAGAATGCCAGTATAATTGGTGATTCTCATTTATTAAATACATTATTTTTCCTTTGTGCAAAAACAAATGATACTGAAATTATAGTTTTGTTTATATGTTTTGTGTCTGGAAACATGTACAGTGAAATAGAGAGTGTGTTGAGTTGAGATTAAGGGAGTAGATTTTGTTTTTCCCAAAAGAGAAGTATGTAAGATAAGGCATAGCTTGATTTAGCCATACCACAATGTACACATATTTTGAAACAAGGTAGTGTACACCATAAATATATACATTTTTAAAATTTTTCAATTAAAAGAAAACCAAAAACCTCTCCTCATATTAGGTCTTCCTTAGAGGCATTATTTTGTATCATTTTTCAAGACCTAGTGGTATTACTTCATTCACTGAAATACTCATTGCTTATTTGGGCTCAAGGGAACTAAAAGATTTTATAAAGCTTCCAAGTGGCACAGGATCAGCAAACAATTTTTTACCAACTGATAGATTCTAGTGGACTACTCATTCCCAAGACAGACCTTCACAGAACAGCACCTGATATTTTCACTTCCAGTCAGTACTGAAACTAATAACAACTCCCTAAGCAAAGTAGACATGCCCTATTCAAATAGAAACACTATTTAGACAATCTTTGCAGCAAACCTCCTCAAATTTACAACTCTAAGATATGAAAACCTTGTAAAAAAAGCTTTCTGAAACTTCTAACCTACTATTTTTTTTCATGATATTAACCAGTGCTAATGATTCCTATGGACCATAAATGCTTCTAAATTGTATCATTTTAAACCTTAGCCTCACTTTTATTGATATTATTAAATATTCTGAATATAGCACAACACAAAGGAAAGGTGTATATCTGCAAACAAGTGAAGAAACTCTGAAGCCAGATTTTTTAGTTTTGTGATGTTGACAAGTAATCACACTGTGTCCTATTTTGTCCTTTCTATAGTAACATGGTACTTCTGTGTTCCTTTCCAGCACTAATATTCTTCAACAATTCTAACTGCTGTGTGTGTGTGTGTGTGTGTGTGTGTGTGTGTGTGTACACGACAGCTGGCTTGTAATTTTACAGCTTCAATTTTCCATTATTCACTAAAATAACTGACCTAGGTGATGAAATGAAACATTTAAATATCATGTTATGTCACATAAAGGCAATATTGGCTATCTTCCTTGCAGTCATAAGAGTTTTTTGTTTGTTTGTTTTTGTTTTGTCAGGTATGGTAACAATACTGAGGCAATTCTGTCTCATACTCTCTCACCGTATGTCTGCTCTAAATAAAACACTCATGGGAATTTCAGAAAAACATACAGTATGTATACACTTAAGTGATTACAGATGGATCAAAGAGTCAGAAAAGAGCCTCGTAAACATTCATGTAATGCCAAGTAGAATGCAAAAGACAGGTATCGTGCAGACAATGACGCCATTATAATAGAGACATGAGTTGAAATTCTGATGTCCTGTCTTATCTGTGGAGATTTATATAATTTTTTACTGTCACTTATTCTTTATTTCTTCTGTTACACAAAGGAGATGATAATAACTCATTTGTAAGTTTTTATGTAAGGGCTAATGGAGTAATGCATAAAAAGTGTTGGCATATATTAGTGATGTTGGCTTGCAGTTTTCCTGATCTTACCCGCTAAAACCTCCTTTGTCTTTCTCATCTTAGTAAATAACAGCTGCTTCCTTCCACTCACTTAGTTCAATCCTGCAACTACTATGGTCTCCTCTCTTTATCGCATATATCACCTCTAATTCACATAGAAAGCATGTTTCTTCTACTTGTTCTGTGTTTTTCCCTGTATGTTACAAGTACCCTAGACCAAGGCACTGTAATCTCTCAACTAACAATACTCTCTGCTAGACAGTTAATTCTCAAAACAAACAGTAAAGTGATATTTTTTAAATGCAAGTCTAATCAACTCATTTCCCTTGGCAAAATCACTCTACTATCTTCTCAATGCGTTGTAATTAAAAATCAATAGCATTTCTATATACCAATAATGATCAAGCTAAAAACAAAATCAAGAACTAAATTCCATTTACAATGGCTAAAAATAAAAATACCTAGGAATACATTTAACCAAGGAGAGGGAACACTTTACAAGGAGAACTACAAAACACTAATGAAAGAAATCACAGATGACACAACAAATGAAAAAACTTCCCATGCCTATGAACTGGAAAAATCAGTATAGTTAAAATGTCCGTAATGCTCAAAGCATCTACAGATTCAATGCAATTCCTATCAAATTATCAACATCATTTAATGTAGAATTAGGAAAAAAAACTTAACATTTATGTAGAATCAAAAAAGAGCCACAATAGCCAAAGCGATCCTAAGCAAAAGGAGTAAAGTGAGAAGCATCACATTACCTTAATTCAAATTATACTGCAAAGCTATAGTAATCAAAACGACATGATACTGATACAGAAATAGAAACATAGATCAATGGTAGACAATAAAGAGCAGAGAAATAAATTCACATATCTACAACCAACTGGTCTTTGACAAAGTCAACAGGATACTGTTTAATAAATGGAGCTGGGAAAATTGGATAGCCATATGCAGAAGAATAAAACTGGACCCATATCCCTCATTATCTACCAAAATTAACTCGATTAATTTAAGAAGACTTAAATGTAAGAACTCACACTATTAAAAAAAAAAAAAGTCATAGAAGGGAACCTAGGAAAAACTCTTTTGTACACTGGCTTGGGCAAAATACTTATGACCAGGTATCAAAAGCAAATGCAACAAAATGAAAAATAAACAATGGGACTTAATTGAACTGAAAATCTTTCATACAGCAAAATATATAATCACCAGAGCAAACAGACAACCTATAGAATGGAAGAAAATATTTGAAAACTATGCAGCTGACAAATGCCTCATATTCGGAATCTGCAAAGAACTCAAACAACTCAAGAAGAAAAAAATTAAAAAATGAGCAAAGTACATGAACACACATTTTTCAAAAGAAGGCATAAAAGCAGTCAACAAATATGAAAAAATGCTCAACACCACTAACATTTCTCTAATCTTAATCAGAGAGATGTAAATTACAACCACAATGATGTGTCATCTTACACCAGTCCGAATGCCTATTTTCAGAAAGTAAAAAATCAACAGATGTTGGTTAGATTGTGGAGAAAGGGGATGCTTATACACTGTTAGTGGGAATGGAAATCAGTTATAAACTCTATGAGAAACTGTATGGATATTCCTCAAAGAGATAAAAATAAAACTAGCATTCAATCCAGCAATCCCACTAATGGGTATCCACCCAAGGGGAAAGAAATCATTGTGTTAAAAATAAATCTGAGCTTGTATGTTTATTGTAGCACTATTCACAATAGCAAAGTCATGGAATCAACCTGTGTCCATTAACAGAAGACTGGATAAAGAAAATATGGTGTGTGTGTATATTACTTATATACACACACATACACATATACCACATTTTCTTTATCCAGTCATCTTTTACAAATATATAAAGGAATACTAGTAATCCATAAAAAAAAAGAAAATCATGTATTTTGCAGCAATATGAATGGAACTGGAGGCCATTATCCAAGTAAAGCAACTCAATGTCAAATACCTCATGTTCTCATTCGTAAGTGGGAGCTAAACAATGGGTATATGTTGACATACGAAGTGGAATAACAGACACTGGAGACTCCACAGGTCAGAGGGTGGGAGGGAGTTTAGGGCTAAAAAATTACCTGTTGGGTACAAAGTATACTATTCTGGTGATCAGTGTAAGAAAAGCCCAGACTTTATTACTATGCAATATACCCATGGAACAAAACTGCACTTGTACCCCCTAAATCTATTAAAAAAAAAAAAACCAAAGTTCTTAAAACAGCTCGCCATGCCCTGAATGATTAGGCATGTATCCTCAATATCTCTACCTTTTTTCTAGCCTCAGTATCTACCACTTTATCTCCCTTCTTGTTCCAGTCAAAATGAACACAATTCTGAATATACTAAGCAAGTTCCTGTCTCAGAGCCTTTGCACTTGCTCTTCATCTGCCTTAAAGGCTTTTGCCAGATAACTGTATGTCTGTTTTCAAGTACCAGTTCCATTAGAAAAGTTTTTTCTAACCATATAATTTACACGAGGTACATGTTCTTTGCCTAACCTTAATTATCTCCTTAGCCCCACCTGACACACTGAACACGTAGTTGCTGGTTTATTGTTTGTCTTCGCTACATGTAATATAAATTTGATGAGGCATGGGATGCTAATTTGTTTCCTTATGTATCCAAGAGTCTAATGAATTTCTAACAGATGATGATAGGAGCTTGAGGGATAGCTCTTTAAATAATAAATAAATGAATAAATTATATGGCAGAATGTATGTTCACATTTCATGTGTAAAAGGAAGACTCAGAAACAAAAGAACTCAGAAGAGAACAGAATTACTCCCTCAAAATATGTTCAAGAGAGTCCAGATTTGAGAAAAACTGGCTAATCAGATTTTTTAAAACCACATGCAAAACACACAACAGATATTTAAATGTGTATATACACACATACATACAAAATTGCTAATTTCCTGAGTTTAGGGTTAATCCGTCTATTTTGTAATGACTGCAACCCTCTCACATGGTTATCATATATACAAAGCTTGTTTCATTTCTTCAGAGGTCAACTGAATTAATAGATAAAATAATTATGGAATGAGTAGTGTATGGAAAATGCCCAAGATTCCATTAATTTTGAAGACTAGGGTAATTCTGCAGATTTTTACTTATGACAGAGTACAAAGTATTTTTTTGCTTGTTTGTTTGTTTGCTTTTGCCTTTAGGCCATGATTTGCACGTTTACTACCACAAGCAATAGGACAAGAAGTCAATATGGCTTTCTCAAATGATTTAAACATTCCCCAAACCCCTTTTTCCTTGCCCATCCTTAATGGAAATAAGTGACTAGTTGAGTACCAGAGACAAAAAATAGAGCACACTGATGTGCTCTTCAGAGAAGATTGGATGGTCCAAGAAAACTTGGAAGAATAAGACTTTAAATACAACCACCTCTCGCCTTTGAGTAGCTAACTCATTTTAGGCTTCTAGCTAATCATGACTTCTCAAGAAACTGTTATTTTCCCCTTATAAATTAGACTTGTTTTATACACCCACCCCCACCACACACACACACAAATAAAATAGCACTTCTTTCTCAACACCAAGCAGAGTTCTAGCACAGAGGAAATGTTCAATACCTATTAGTTCAATGGGTATATGAAATAAAGAGTGAATAGGGTTGCATATATGAAGGGATGGATGGTTGAATGGGCAGCAGGATGGATGACAAATTAAATCAAGGAATTAACATAAATATTCTTGAGTTCACAATAAAGCAAAAAGAATGTGGAAGCATGTCAGGTACATTATCTCATATGAATAAAGATATTATCTTTAGGTAGGTGCTTACATAGTAAATATAATGTTTTGCCATCAGGGGAGATTATAGTAATTGCCACTTTTGCAGAGTAGAAAAGTTATAGACTTGGGAGCTAAGCCAACTTGGTTTCATTTCACAGGTCTACAGCTTTATACTTGGATATCTTTAAGTGAATGTCCCAAAATTTTAAAAGCCTCAGTGTGCTCATCTGCACATATAGGTCTCTATGTTACATTGTTTTTATGAGATCTGGATATAATGTATGAAAAAGGCTAAAATATAGTAGTTGCTCAATAAATGGTAACTATTATTATTTGGTAAGGGCAACTTTTGTCAGTAAAGTGTTATCTTTGGTAAACTACTTAGCCTTGAATTCTAAGGTATCCTTTAGAAACATTTTTTTAAGAAATCAGTGGAGTGTCTAGTTTTATGAAAAGCAAACTTATATAATTTTACATTTACTGAACTCATTAAAAATGTACCACTTTAGGGAATATGACATTTCACACACCACCTAGTTCTAGGTTAATATATGATCAAACTGGTTAAAATAGAGGCTTTATAATCATGCTTGTGTTTTATTTCCTGCACTGCCACACACATCAGTTTGATACTGGACAAGTTAGTTAACGTTCTACGACTCAAGCACTTCCCTCATCTCCAAAACAAAGATAGAGACACCTACATCTTAGAGTTGTTGTAATGCTTGTAAGGTGCATTTTACACACAGCTTTTAACCTATATAAATGAGTTTCCACTCACTAATCTTCACAACAAGCTGTGAGGTAAATAATATTAATATTATCATTTGCAGAAGAAAATACGAGGCACTTAGCAATAAATAACTTGCTAAAAGTCACAAATCTAAGGAAGTGGAAAGGCTGGATTTCCATCTGTGGAACCTGATTCTGGAAGACTCTTACCTATTTCCTTGTTTTGTCTGCCTCTGCTGTCTTGGTGGAAATATACAATGGCACAAAGCCATTTGAGAAAAGGAGAATGAGCAACATTTTTTAAAATCGTAAAAAATTTCAAAAGCCCTTCCTGCACGTACAACCTTAGCAGGAGTTCTGTGTCTTGTAAATTAAAGCTAGGCTTCTTTAGCAAGAGTTGGAAACTCAGGATAATGCCGATTGGTTTTGCCATAGTAAAGTACTTTCAATTTCATCTTGGAATTCAAAGGAATAAAATGATTTACTGTAATAAGATGTGAGTTTCACTTATCTGTTGATTCTATCTGGTCTATAATGTGACATATTTATACTGATATGTATAATATCTAAATAAAAGTGGAAATGGAAGGTCTTAAAGGAAACAGAAAAAAAAACTGCTTTGATGACATTTATGTGTATGCCCACATTCTGCCATTTATCAGCTCTGTGACTTGGGATGATTCACTTAATCTCTGTATTAGTCCATTCTCACATTGCCATAGAAAACTACCTAAACTACTTTGCTCCCCAGAAAATGGGTTTTTCTTTTCTACCACATGGCTGGGCTGCAAATTTTCCCAACATTTATGCTCTGCTTCCCTATTAAATATAAGTTCCGGTTTCAGATCATCTCTTTGCTCATGCATAACAAAAGTGACCTTAGCTCCAGTTCTCAATAAGTTTGTCATCTCCATCTGAAACATCCTAAGCCTGGAATCCATTGTCCATAACACTATCAGCATTTTCATCACAACAGTTTAACAACTCTCTAGGAAATTCCAAACTTTCCCTCATCTTTCTGTCTTTTTCTGAGCCCTCTACACTATTCCAACCTCTGCCCATTACCCAGTTCTGAAGTCACTTCCATATTTTCAGGTATCTTTTTAGTAATGCCTTACTCCCAGTACCAATTTTCTGTATTAGTCCATTCTCACATTGCTATAAATAACTACCTGAGACTCAGTAATTTATAAAGAAAAGAGGTTTAATTAACTCACAGTTCCACAGGCTTTACAGGATGCATGGCTGGGAGGCTTCAGCAAACTTACAGTCATGCCAGAAGGCGAGGGGGAAGCAGGCACATCTTACACGGCTGGAGAAAGAAAGAGACGGAAAAAGGGAGGGATTACACACTTTTAAATAACCAGATCTCCTGAGAATTCACTCACTATCAGACAAACAGCAAGGAGGAAGTCCATCCCCATGGCTTGATAACCTCCCACCAAGCCCCTCCTTCAACGTTGGGGATCACAATTTGACATGACATTTGGTTGGGAACACAAATCCAAACCATTTCAATCTCATTAATCCTCAGTTTTCTCTGAATATACAATTCACAAAGTTGTGGCTGTGAAATTGATTCAGATTTTCTTGACCGCTTTGTTGCACTTGCCACATGAGTGCCCCACTTACTTGGCCCACCATGCTCAACCTCTTGTAGCACATGGAGCAATTCAGAGAGTGAGTGTGGGTTTCGGCCAGCCCTTCTGGGCATCTGCGGGAGCAGGCTCCAATGCAGGCCCCACAGCCCAACCAGATGTGGGTGAACGAGTGCTGCTTTGGGCTCTGGCAGGAGCAGGCTCTGTGTGGGCCCCCATCCTAAATGGAAGTACCTGTGACCCTAAAGGGCATGTTACAATGTTCTCTTAGCTTTGCCTTTCATGGACAGCAGTGTGTTATCAGCTCAACGGCCCCCTTGCCTCATAACATAGAGTGGCTGCCTTCCACCAGTGAGAGCAAAGGACAACTTTGAAAGCCTTTTTTTGGTACCAACACTCAGTGGGTCCTGAGCTCTTGTCCAGCGTCCAAGAAGAATGAGGTTGCAAAGACACTTGAAGAATGCTGGAGGTGGAGAATTTTATTTAGTGATGGACATGGCTCTCAGTGGAGAGGAGAGCTGGAGAAGGGATGGAACAGGCACATAATCTTCCCTGAAGTCTGGCCATCTCCAGCTGGCTCTTCTCCAATGTTAAGCCATCCCTCTGAAGTTAAATTGCCTCACTACTTGACTTTTCGTCCTCTACCACTTCTCTTCCTCTACCAACCGAGTCTGGGGTCTTTATAGGCACAGGATGGGGAGTGGGGCAGGCTATAGGTAGTTTTGGAAAAGGCAACATTTGATTGGTAAAAATACATTATTCAGAAAGAACCAATTGGAAGTGAGTGGGCAAGCAGGGATAGAAATTCTGACTTTGGGCCATGGGTTTCAGGCTTTTTGGCTCAAAGGTGGGGTTTTGCCAGGGACTCGCCCCTTTCTGCCTAGAATTTCTCTGCCTCCTGCTTCTATCAAAACAAAATAATGTAAACTAAAACAGTTTCTGCAATGTAAAAAAAAAAAAGATTGTTTTTAGAATGATTAGTGATAAGTCATTCCAATTTCAGTTTTCAATAACTGGCATATTATATCCACTAACACCACTTCACCTTTCCATTTTTGGGGAATGAATTTTTACCTGTGGAGTAATTTTCTAAAGATACATTTAAGCCATGAAGCTTAAAAGAAAGAATAATTATTTTCCCCCTGAGAGATATCAATCTAATATTTGATGCACTGCCATGCCCCTTTAAAAATAATATATGGAACCTAATTTAGCTTTTAAAAAATGACTCATGTTTCTAAGAAACATGAGTGACTGAGCTGAATATTAATATAGTGATACTGTCCAAGATGATGAAAGTATACAAGCTGTTTTCTGTCACTAAATACAATTTCCGTATCATTGCTTTTTGGTACCTTTGATAAAGTTGTCGTTCATTTCGTCTCCTGTGCCTAAGAGATCTTTAGTACTAAATGTATCTTTCTGTCAATTTTTCTAACTTATTTTATATAATTTGCTGTAGAAGAGAATATTTCAAAACAAGTTTATTAATATTATTACAATAGAGTCAATCAATTCAATGTAAGAGCCAATGATCCCTTCTAGAATAAGACACAGAATTTGACGGTTGGATGGCTGGAGAATCTTCATAAACATTGGGACTTCACTGGCTAGCTGAGGTTGTAGAAAATCTTGTTTTCAGATAACTGAGGTGTATATGCATTTTCAAAATATCAGCAGTGTCAAATGTCTTGGCAGGCCAAAAAAACAGTCTATGATTACTCTTATGAAATATTGTAAAACAGTTCAGCAAATAGACAAAATTCCTAGATTTCATTAAAGACTACCCAATTTCTCTGAACCAAATAAAGTCCTGACATTTGTAGAGAAATCCTAGCTTCAGCTGAAGGTTGTTGCTTAAAGAGGAGACTAATTCAGCTTTCATATCTAGAAATAGACAAGGAAAAAGAATGAATAACTGATTTATTTTAAATTTGTATGTTGCTTGCCTTAAAAACAAATATTTTTAGATACTGCACACATCATTTTCGGCACATTTAGATATTTGGACTTAATATATGCTGACAACTTCCTGAATTCCAAAACAAAGAAAGCTGAGAAACATTTCATTTAAAAATATATTTGACAAGTTTAGATTACTGGGAAGAAAACCCCATTTTTGGGCTCCTGGAATTGTCAGCCACATATGCCTAATTATCCCCTCTACATAAAGGAGGAATGTTTTGTTTAGCCATATTTACAATGTGTTCTTACTTCTAAATTACATGTTTAATCACAGAAATAATACAGCACAATGAATGTCACGCTTTTCACTTTGTTTTTGTTTTTCCATCTAAACCAAGAAGAGAATACAAAAGCAGGTGAGTATGTAGAGTTATCAGTCCTAAGTTCTGCTAATTCTTCAAGTTTTTTTGTTACATTCTATGCTTATATAATAATGGAATATTAAAATGCAAATTCATTTTTATTTGTCAGGATTATTTTAAAGGTAAAGTTTCCTACGGCCAATTTTCTTACAAAAATAACTGGACCTGCAATAATAATCTGGAAACGTTTGGGCATAATAATGGGACCAAACATGAAAGCTTTCTCACTAATTAGAGAAAAAAATATTCAGTACTACTCACCTACAGTGGGTTTAACTTCTTTCAGAAAAGGTAACTAAACTTGCACTTAAGCCATTATTAATTCTTAACTTTGAAGGATTTTGGAAATAATTTTTTCTCTTGAGGTCAGAAACTTCCAGATGTTTAGTTACCTAAAATATAACAGAACCGAACCAAGTATAAAAAGTAATTGATGGTATGAATCTTTAACTCTCATATATATTGCCCTGCTTGCCACTTTAAAATTATATATAATTATAATACTTTATACTATCTTATAAGTTATATATAAAATTATATGTAATTATTGTATATAATAAAGTATAAATAAAACAATTTTATTATATACAATAATTATATATCATATATAGTTTCTTGTATGTTAGTTATTTATTTGATGAAAGTGGAGGTTTCAATACAAAAATTTAAAAGATGGTGGATAAATATAGGTGTGTCAAATGCTGTTCTTGTGCGATAGATTTTGGCAGGAGAGATCTTCAGCTGCTATTGCAGAACATGGTCTTTAGTCATAGTAGGTTTTATTTTTTAAACAGTTATTTCATCCAATATAAGGCTGAAGTGATGAAAGCAAAGGAGTATATTGAGTTGCTCATTGTTATTTACTGCCTCTTTCAGAACACAAAGAGGAAGTGGGATTCATTGCATATCATAACACCCATGGAGTACTCACACACCCACTCACACAGAAACAACTATGAGGAAAAAATTAAACTGAGGAATATATTCTAAGAACATTTTATTATTTAGTAAAAAATTTAATGTTAGTTTAGGTTTTATTTTCTTTAATTGCTATCAGAAGTTTTAGGGGTTTGAAATAGGAGATTAGTAATTTCTCTCTAAGGTCATGTAGTTATAAAATTAAAGCTACCAAACTTTACTGTTTAAATTAAGGAAAAGTCTAAAAAGAGCCTCCTTTTTCCCTCATTTATTATAAAAGCCCCCATAGTGATTTTACAATTGAGAAATTCTTGTGTTGACTTATTAACATCTTCCAGATTAATCTTTCCAAAATATAGCTGTTATCATCACAGCATTTTTTGATAGAACATTTTCAGATCCTTCACTATATCTTAAATAAACTTGAAAAAATTATCATCTAATCCATGCCTTCAATAATGTTTTTTCTATTTATTATTCTATCCTACTGACCATTACTTCTTATTCGTAAACAACAGCTCTCCAACTAAATCAAGCTAGTTGCCATTGTGTAAATATACAATTTTTTCTTTTGGTGTATGCTCACTGGTACTTCTACTTGAAATTCCCATATTACATACTTCATAGCTCAGCTCAACTCTCCTTGTGGTTAATTCTCGCTCATTACTCCTTTAGCCTGAAGTAATCACCGACTTTCCTAGAGCTTCAATTCTTTCAAGTAACATGGAACTTGAATTATTTCAACTAGCATACATACACACACACACACACACAGACATACATACAAACACACACATTTGTGTTCATAGCATATATTATCTATTAGTTAAATAACATATTTTGTTTACTCTTAACCAATCCCTCTCATAGTTTAACATTATCATGAACATAGGCATGCAATAGTGAGTGAAATAATAAATTAGTGGCAAATATTTAAACTTTAACAAAATATAAGTTAATACTTTTTCTCATATCTCAATATATGCTCTTGTGTCAAAGTAAATGATGTTTCACTTCATTAAATTATCGTTCCTTGATGTAATAATTTGAGTATAAAACTCTATGCTGTGCACTGACTGAGAAACAGAATAGCATAATCATTAAAAGTGTTGGGTCTGGAGTCAGAGTTTAAATCATGGTCTCTGTCCAAAATATGTGAGTGGTCCACGTGCAAATTCTTTAATCTCTTTGTGCTTCAATGTGCTCATTTAGAAAATGTGGTTAATAATAGTACTTACTTTATAGTGTCATTCATGAATACTAGGTAAGAGAATATATGTAACAGTTTTAGGATTGCATCTAACATATAACATGAGACAAGAAATGTTAGCTCTTATTATTGCATACCATACATTTATATTATTTTACCTATTGCATATATTTTACATTATTTTAATGAAATAACAGCAATTTAGTACATTTATTTGCATTGATGTATTTGTCATCTGTGTTTATATACATGCTATCATTAGGTATTTACACATAGGTATAAAACATGTATTTTTAAAATTTGTAAGCACTCCAGCAGTTACTGTAACAAATAGTAAGTTCATATAGAATGTAATGAGAAGGAAATGCCACTTTACAAATAGGGCATGTTATGGGGGCATATACACACATATATTGTGATGGTTAATACTGAGTGTCAACTTGATTGGATTGAAGGGTGGAAAGTATTGATCCTGGGTGTGCCTATGAGGCAGTTGCCAGGCAAGATAATGTTGATTCACCTCAGGAGCCACCTCCAACACCCCTGTTTGCTTCTAGACCTATAACTTGACTAAAGTCCTGGCGGGCCCCTACAGGTGAGGTTCAGATGTGACCCATGAGGAGCTGTGCTACACCAGAAAATAACTGCTTTGTGTTTTCTAATTTATGTAAGCCGACATCTGGAGAACAGACATGGGAATGGATATTAAGGCTGTGGGATAATGGTGGAAGGAACATAGAGTTGGATCAGGCCAAATTTATTGATTTGGGCCCACTAACTGGGACTCTGCATTTAATGTTGCAGCTTGGGGTGTTAAAAAAAAGTTATAATAGTTTATTTGCTTGCTTAGCTGAAATATGGATGAAAAGACGGCCCACTGTGCGCAAGCTGAAAATGACTGATCTACCTTGGTTTAATGTAGAGGAAGGGATCCAAAGGCTTAGGGAGATTGGGGTAGTGGAGTGGATTAGTCACTTTAGACCGGATAGTCATCCCAGCTGGGACAGTCCAGAAGATATACCCTTGATCAATGCCTTGCAAAAGAGATTTGTAAGGGCAGCACCTGTATCTTTGAAGAGCCCTGTAATTGCTCTTCTCTGTATGTCAGATCTAACAGTGGGAACTGCAGTCACTCAACCACAAAATGTAAATACAATGGGAAGAATTGGATCCCCAGATGGCAGTGGCCGAGTGGCAGTACTCAACCTTCCAAGGCAAGGAACCTCAACCTTTCAAAGGCAAGGTGGGCATAGCTACCATAATGGACAGCAGAGGCAAAGCGCAATAGAATAGTCTGACTCATGTAGAGCTCTGGCATTGGCTAGTTAATCATGGTGTTCCTAGAAGTGAAATTGACAGGAAGCCTACTTAATTTATATAAGCAGAAAACTTCTAGGTTGAATGGATAAAAGATTAATTTGAATTACAAAAAAAGAGAATCATGGCCCCTCAACCAATGTCCAGACTTGAGCCAGTTTACAGACCCAGAACCCCTTGAATGAAGGGGAGGCCAGGTGCCCTTGAGGAAGAACCCCACTACACTACCAACAATTTATGCTATTAATCATTCTCCCATCCTTCCTCAAGGAGACCTCTGGCATTTTACCAGGTAACTGTGCACTGGGGAAAGGGAAATGATCAGACATTTCTGGGACTACTGGACACTGGCTGTGAGCTGACTTTGATTTCAGGGGACCCAAAACATCATTGTGGTCCTCCAGTTAAAGTAGGGGCTTATGGAGGTCAGGTAATTAATGGTGTTTTAGCTCAGGTCTGACTTACAGTGGATCTAGTGGGTCCCCAAACTCATCCTGTAGTCATTTCCCCAGTGTCAGAATTCATAATTGGCATAGACATACTTAGCAGCTGGCAGAACCCCCACACTGGTTCCCTGACTGGTAGGGTGAGGGCTGTTAGTGGGAAAGGCCAAATGGAAGCCATTAGAGCTACCTCTACCTAAAAAAACAGTAAATCAAAAACAATATCACATTCCTGGAGGGATTGTGGAGCTTAGTGATACAATTAAGGACTTGAAAGATGCAGGAGTGGTGATTCCCACCACATCCCAATTCAACTCTCCCATTTGGCCTGTGCAGAAGACACATGAATCTTGGAGAATGACAGTGGATTATCATGAGCTTAACCAAGTGATGACTCCAATTGCAGCTGCTGTACCAGATGTGGCTTCACTACTTGAGCACATTAACACATCACCTGGTACCTGGTATGCAGCCACTGACTTGGCAAATGCCTTTTCCTCCATTCCTGTACATAAGGCCAACCCAAAGCAATTTGCCTTCAGCTGGCAAGGCCAGCAATATACATTTACCATTCTATCTCAGGGGTATATCAACTCTCCGGCTTTGTGTCATAATCTTATTCGGAGAGACCTTGATTGCTTGTCACTTCCGCAAGATATCACACTGGTCCACTGCATTGATGACATTATGCTGATTGGATCCAGGGAGCAAGAAGTAGCAAATACACTGGACTTACTGGTGAGACATTTATGCGCCAGAGGATGGAAAATAAATCTGACTAAAATTCAGGGGTCAGTAAAATTTTTAGGGGTCCAGTGGTGTGGGGTCTGTTGAGATATTCCTTCTAAGGTTAATGGGAAACGGATAAGTTGCTGCATTTGGCCCCTTCTACAACCAAGAAAGAGGCACAATGCCTAGTGAGCCTATTTGGATTTTGGAGGCAACACATTCCTCATTTGGGTGTGTTACTCTGGCCCATTTAGTAAGTGACCCAAAGGACTGCCAGTTTTGAGTGGGGTCCAGAACAGAAGAAGGCTCTGCAATAGGTCCAGGCTGCTGTGCAAGCTGCTCTGCCACTTGGGCCATCTGACCCAGCAGATCCAATGGTACTTGAGGTGTCAGTGGAGACAGGGATGCTGTTTGGAGCCTTTCACAGGCCCCCATAGGTGAATCACAGCGGAGGCCTCTAGGATTTTGGAGCAAGGCCCTGCCATCTTATGCAGATAACTACTCTCCTTTTGAGAGACAGCTCTTGGCCTGTTACTGGGCTTTGCTAGAAACTGAACATTTGACCATGGGTCATCAAGTCACCATGCAACCTGAACTGCCTATTATGAACTGGGTGCTTTCTGACCCATCTAGCCATAAAGTGGACCATGCACAGCAGCATTCCATCATCAAATGGAAGTTGTATATACGTGATCGGGCTTGAGCAGGTTCTGAAAGCACAAGCAAGTTACATGAGGAAGTTGCTCAAATGCCCATGGAATGCCACTCTGCCTTCTCTCCCCCAGCCTGCACTGATGGCCTCGTGGGGAGTTCCCTATGATCAATTGACAGAGGAAGAGAAGACTAGGGCCTGGTTCACAGATGGTTCTAAATGATATGCAGGCACCACCCGAAAGTGGACAGCTGCAGCACTACAGCCCCTTTCCAGGACATCCCTGAAGGACAGTGGTGAAGGGAAATCTTCCCAGTGGGCAGAGGTTCGAGCAGTGCACCTGGTTGCGCACTTTGCATGGAAGGAGAAATGGCCAGATGTGTGATTATATACTGATTCACGGGCTGTAGCCAGTGGTTTGCTAGATGTTCAGGGTCTTGGCAGAAGCATGATCGGAAAATTGGTGACAAAGAAATCTGGGGCCAGGCACGGTGGCTCACGCCTGTAATCCCAGCACTTCGGGAGGCCGAGGCGGGCAGATCACGAACGAGGTCAGGAGATTGAGACCATCCTGGCTAACACTGTGAAACACCGTCTCTACTAAAAACACAAAAAATTAGCTGGGCATGGTGGTGGGCGCCTGTAGTCCCAGCTACTCAGGAGGCTGAGGCAGAAGAATGGTGTGAACCCGGGAGGCGGAGCTTGCAGTGAGCCAAGATCACACCACTGCACTCCAGCCTGGGTGACAGAGCGAGACTCCGTCTCAAAAATAAGAAAAAAAAAGAAAAAGAAAAAGAAAAATTTGGGGAAGAGGTATGTGGATAGACCTCTGTCAGTGGTCAAAACCTGTAAAGCTATTTGTATCCCATATGAGTGCTCACCAACGAGTGACCTCAACAGAGGAGGATTTTAATAATCAAGTGGATAGGATGACTGTTCTGTGGACACCACTCAGCCTCTTTCCCTAGCTACCCCTTTCATTGCCCAATGGGCCCATGAACAAAGTGGCCATGGCGGCAGGGATGGAGGTTATGCATGGGCTCAGCAACATGGACTTCCACTCACCAAGGCTGACCTGGCTGTAGCCACTGCTGAAAGCCCAATTTGCCAGCAGCAGAGACCAACACTTAGCCCTCGATATGGCACCATTCCTCTGGCACCATTCCTCAGGGTGATCAGTCAGCTGGTGGCAGATATTGGACCTCTACCATCATGGAAAGGACAGAGGTTTGTCCTCACTGGAATAGACACTTACTCTGGATATGGGTTTGCCTGTCCTTCACACAACACTTCTGCCAAGACTACCATCAGTGGACTCACAGGATGCCTTATCCACAATCATGGTATTCCATACAGCATTGCCTCTGACCAAGGCACTCACATGACGCCTAAAGAAGTGTGGCAGTGGGTTCATGATTACGGAATTCACTGGTCTTACCATGTTCTCCATCATCCTGAGGCAGCTGGATTGACAGAACAGTGGAATGGCCTTTTGAAGTTACAATTACAGTGCCAAATAGGGGACAATATTTTGCAGGGCTGGGGCAAATTTCCTTAGAAGGCTGTCTATGCTCTGAATCAGCATCCAATATATGGTATTGTTTCTCCCATAGCCAGGATTCACAGGTCCAGGAATCAAGGGGTGGAAGTGGAAGTGGCACCACTCATCATCACCCCTACTGATCCACTAGCAAAACTTTTGCTTCCTGTTCCTGTGACTTTACATTCTGCTGGCCTAGAGGTCTTAGTTCCAGAGACAGGAACACTGCCACCAGAAGACAGAACAATGATTCCATTAAACTGGAAGTTAAGATTGCCACCTGGACACTTTGGGCTCCTCCTATCTCTAATTCAACAGGCTGAGAAGGAAGTTACAGCGTTGGCTGGGGCAGCTGACCTGGACTATCAAGATGAAATCAGTCTACTACTCCACAAGGGAGGTGAGGAAGAGTATGCATGGAATACAGGAGATCCATTAGAGCATCTCTTAGTATTATCATGCCCTCTGATTAAGGTTAATGGGAAACTGCAATAGCCCAATCCAGGCAGGATTACAAATGGTCCAGATCCTTCAGGAATGAGGGTTTGGGTCACTCCATAAACCTCATTTCCATAACCAGGAAAAGAGTTATGACCTGCTGAGGTGCTTGCTGAAAGCAAAGGGAATACAGAATGGGTAGTAGAAAGAGGTAGTCATCAATACCAGCTGTGGTCACATGACCAGCTGCAGAAACAAGGACTGTAATTACCATGAGTATTTCCTCCTTCTTTTGTTAAAAACATGTTTGTGCATGTATACACTTGTACTAAGAAAATATATTTTATTTCCTTTTTCCTTTATCATGTGACATAAGATTTATTGACTTCATATCAGCATGTAAGTATTGTTAACTTTACATGATAGTATTTGCATTTCTGATTGGTGTGTTTCTGGTTGTACAAAGGATAGTTGCATTATATCATCTGTAATTATAACCCTATTATTGTCTTTATTTGAATATTGTGTATTATCTCAGAAGATGTATATGGGTTCAAGCTGACAAGGGGGGGACTTGTGATTAATACTGGGTGTCAACTTGATCCTGGGTGTGTCTGTGAGGGTGTTGCCAAAGCAGACTAATATTTGAGTCAGTGGGCTGGGAAAGGCAAACCAACCCTTAATCTGAGTGGGTACCAGCTAATGAGCTGCCAGTATGGCTACAATATAAAGCAGGCAGAAAAACGTGAAAAGACTAGACTGGCCTAGCCTCCCGGCCTACATCTTTATCCTGTGCTACATGCTTCCTGCCCTGGAACATCTGGACTCCATGCTTTTCAGCTGGGGGACTCAGACTGGCTCTCCTTGCTCCTCAGCTTACAGATGGCCTATTGTGGGACCTCTTGATGGTTGAGTTAATACTTAATAAACACACCATTATATATATATATATGTGTGTGTGTGTGTGTATATATATATATATCCTGTTTTTTACATATATATATATCCTGTTTTATACACACACACACACACACACACACACACACATATATATATATCTCCTATTAGTTCTATCCCTCTAGAGAACCCTGGCTAATACACATATTAAGACAATCATTAGCAGCTAAATGCACAAAATACTAGTATGCAACAGGAAATATCAGCCCAAATCTGTATTTAAAAGATAGCCTACAAAGTTTCAGAGGTTCTAGGGTAATGTGAAGCCATCTAGCTGCATGTGCAATGGTGTATTCAGCCACTTCTCAGCTGTGTCACCACACTCAGTGATATGTAAGTGAGGCCAACAGAGCTCTGAGTCTTCCACAGAACTATCACTTGAGCCAACTCTGATGCCATAATCACCACCATGATCAAGCTTCAGGAGGCTATAATGAGAATCAATTATTCATTTTTAATTAAAAGACAAGTAAGGTATCTTTGTTTTACATATTTTTTATCTCAATTCTTCCCTGCTCTCTATCTCCTCATCTCAGACTCTTCCTTAATTCTTCAAATCCTTCCACCATCCCCTTTAAAACATATGTTTTAACCGACAGATCTCTCCTACACCTTAAACTTCCTCTCCACACATTCTTTCTCATAATTCAACTTTCTAAGAGTCATTTCTTCTATAGCTCTCTTAAGGGTAGCTACTTATTTCTCCCACACCACATCCCTACCACAGGCCTGTGTCTGGAGGTAGAGGAGTGTTCTACTTGCTCCTAATTGATGGTTTCAGATATTTCTCATTACTTCCTATAATCCTAACGTTTTTGAAACTCATGTCATCTGGCTATACCCCAAGCTATTTTGAAATTTTGTGATCAATATAAAGCTTTCATTTAAGTTTTAACACCTGGGTCATCATACGTCTCTTTATTGCTAATCATTGTTGCTTATTATGTAGCCTTCAAGATTTACTAGTTCTAAGGTCCATACCACTTTAAATTCAAGATCTTTCACATCCTCATTTAAAATATTTTTCTTCATCCCATTTGCCCACCTCATCTCATATTCCTTACCTAGATATTTTTATTACCAATATGTATATGGCATCCAAAACCTTAATTTAAAACAGACTCACTACCACTTCCTAACATTTCAACTCATTTACTGTGTACACAGATCAACAAGGCCTTAATTTATCTGGATCATACAATCCATTGACTCTACCACTTTTGTGTCTACCACTGTCCACAGGCCTGCCATATACTCTGTATGCAGCTTGTACTTCTAGGTCCATCATCACAATTTCTTCTTTAATAAAATCAAAACACCTAACTCACTCTCCCTCTGTGTTACCCACTTGGCAAAACTCCAATTATGATTACATCCAAAATTCCACCTAATTTTCAAAAATAAGCAAATATGCTGACTTGTCTCCCTTTAGATTTATGACTAAAAATTTGGTTTCCATGCTCAAAGAAACTTTCCAGTAACACATGTTTTTGTTGACAATTTACTTTTCCTGTATCTAAGACAATAAGTCTACAATTTCTCTTCTCAAAGAGAAATTCTAGGGTCAACTCCCTTAAATTACCTCTATTTGTTCAGCAATATTTTCTCACACATATTTTGGGATTGTGGTTCCATTTGTCTATGTGCCTCTTTTATACCAGCACCGTAGTGTTTTGGTTACTGTAGTCTGGTAGTTTAGTTTGAAGTCAATTAATATGATGCCTCTGGCTGTATCACTTTAGCTTTGTATTGCTTTGGATATTTGGGCTCCCATTGTGTTCCATATTAATTTTAGGACTGTCTTTTGTAATACTGTGAAAAATTGCATTGGTAACTTAAAAGGAATAGCATTGCATCTGTAGACTGCCTTGGTCAGTATGGCCATTTTAACAATTTTGTTTCTTCTAATCCATGAGCATGATGTACCTTTCCATTTGTTTGTGTCACATATGTTTTCTTTCAGCAGTGCTTTGTAGTTCTCCTTGTATAGATCTTTCATTTCCTTGGTTAGATGTATTCGTAGGTATTTGTGTGTGTGTGGCTATCATAAATGGGATTGTGTTTTTGATTTGGTTCTCAGCTTGGACATTATTGGTGTATAGGAATGCTACTGATTTTTGTACACTGATTTTGTAGCCTAAGGTTTTGCTGAAGTCATTTATTAGACCTAGGAGTCTTTTGGCAGAAGTTTTATGGTTTTCTAGGTATATAATCATATTGTCAGTGAAGGCAGATAATTTGAGTTCCTCTTCCATTTGGAAGCTATTTATTCCTTTTTCTTGTCTAATTTATCTGGCTAAGACTTCCAGTCGTACATTGAATAGGAGTGGTGAGAATGGACATCCTTGTTTTGTTCCAGTTTTAGGGGTAATGCTTCTTACTTTTACCCATTGAGTATGATGTTGGCTATGGTTTTGTCATTGATGACTCATTAGTTTGAGGTATTTTCCTTCAATGCCTAGTTTGTAGAGGATTTTTATCATGAAGGGATACTGGATTTCATCAAATGCTTTTTCTGCAACTATTAAGATAATCATATAGTTTTTGCTTTTAATCCTATTTTTGTAGTAAATCACATTTATTGATTTGTGTACGTTGAACCACTTTTGCATTCCAGGAATGAAGCCCCCTTGGTTGTGGTGAATTAACTTTTGGTGTACTGTTGGATTTGGTTTGCTAATATTTTGCAGAGCATATTTTCATATATTTTAATCAGTGATAGTTGCCGGTAGTTATCACTTTTTTTTTTTTTTTTGAGTTTTTATCAGATTTGGTGTCAGGATGATACTGGTATTGTAGAAGGAGTTAGGAAGGAGTTCCTCCTCCTTGCTTTGTTGGAATAGTTTTGGTAGAATTGGCAGCAGCTCTTCTTTGTATGTCTGGTAAAATTTGGCTGTATATTCATCTCATCCACAGCATTGTTTGGATTAGTAAGGATTATATTATTGGTTCAATTTTATTACTTGATATTGGTCTGTTCGGGATTCTTTTTTTCATCCTCTTTCAATCTTGGAAAGTTGTTGATTTATAAGAATTTATCCATTTCCTCTAGATTTTCTAGTATGTGTGCATAGAGATGTTAATATAATCTCTGAGGATCTTTTCTATTTCTGTGGTACTGGTTGCCATGTCATCTTTGTCATTTCTAAGAGCTTATTTTGATTTTCTCTTTTTTTCCTTTGGTAAGCTAGCTTGTGGTCTATGAATCTTATTTATTCTTTGAAAAAGTCAACTTTTTGTTTTATTGATCCTTTTTATGGTTTTTTGGGTTTCAATTTCATGCAGTTATGCTCTGATTTTAGTTATTTATTTTATTCTGCTAGCTTTGGGTTTAGTTCTTGTTTTTCTAGTTTCTTCAGGTGTGAGATTAGTTTGTTAATTTGAGATCTTTCGATCTACTTGATGTAGGCATTTAAAGCTATAAACTTGCCTATTAACACTGTTTCTGCCACATCCCAGAGGTTTTGATATGTTGTGCCTCTATTTCCATTCATTTTAGATGAATTTGTGATTTCTTCCTTAATTTTATTGTTTACTCAAAAGTCATTCAAGAGTCAGTTGTGTAGTTTCCATGTACTTGTGTGGTTTTGAGAGACTTCTATTTTTATTCCACTTTGGTCCAAGAAAATTCTCGGTATGATTCTAATTTTCTTTCATTTTGTTTGATACTGAATGTATGGTCAAGCATGTGGTAAATCTTAAGAGTATGTTCTATGTGCAGATGAACAAAAACGTATATTCTGTGATTGTTGGATAAACTATTCTGTAGAAATCAATTAAGTCCAACTGGTCAAGTTCCAATTTAAGTCCCAAATTTCTTTGTTAGTTTCTTCCTCAATGAGCTATCTAATGCTGTCAGTGGGGTGTTGAAGATGTCACTATTATTGTGTGTAAGTATAAGTCTTTTTTAGGTCCACAAATAGTTGTTTTATAAATTTGGTTGTTCTATTGTTGGTTGCAAGCATATTTAGAATAGTTAAGCCTATTGTTGAATTAGACTTTTTATTATTATGAAATTCCCTTCTGTCCTTTACTGTTGTTCATTTAAGCCTGTTTTATCTGATACAAGAATAGTGACACTTGCTCTTTTTCATTTTTCATTTGTGTGATAGGTCTTTCTCATTACTTTGAGCCTATGAGAGTCATTACATAAATAAGGTTTTCTTAAAGACAGCAGAGGGATGCTTCTTGTTTTTCATGAAATTTGCCACTCTCTGCCTTTAAGTGGAGCATTTTGATAATTTATATTTAAGATTAATATTGATATGAGAGATTTTTTCCTGTTGTAGTGTTAATTAGTTGCTTTGTAGTCTTGATTGTGTAGTTGCTTTATAGGACCTGTAGTTACGTGCTTGTGGGAGCTTTTGTGGTAGCAGATATTGTTATGTTGTTTCCATGTTTAGAACGTCCTTAAGCATACCTATAAGGCTGGCCTAATGGCAATGAATTCCTTTAGCAAATGCTTGTCTGGGAATGACTTTCCTTGTCCTTTGTTTATGTAACTTAGTGTGGAAAGATATAAAAATTCTTGGCTGGCATTTCCTTTCTTTAATACTGCTAAAAAGGGGACCCAGTTCCTTCTGGCTTATAAGATTTCTGCGGAGAATTCTGCTGAGACTATTAGTCTGATGAATTTCCTTTTATAGGTAATATGACCATTTTCTCTACCTGCCTTTAAGTTTTTTTTTTTTTCTTTACATCAACCTTGGATACTCTAATGACTATGTGACCTGGGGATGGTCATCTTGTATATTATCTTGCAGGAGTTCTATGGATTTCTTATGTCTGCATGTTGACCTCTCTAGCAAGAATGTGGAAATTTTCCTGAATTATATACTCAAATATGTTTTCAAAGTTGCTTACTTTATCTTCTTTCTCGGGAAAGCCAATAAGTAGTAAATGTTGTCACTTTACATTAACCAATATTTCTCAAAAGCTGTTTGTTTTTTAAATTCTTTTTTTTTTTAACTTTTGTCTGACTGGGTTAATTTAAAGGATCAAACTCTGAGCTCTGAAATTCCTTCTTCTGTTTGGTCTTGCCTGTTGTTAAGACTTCCAACCGAATTTTGAAGTTCTTATAGGAAAATTTTCAATTCTAGAAGTTTCTGTTTGGTTCCATCTTAATATAGCTTAATATAGTTCTGTTGCCTTTCAAGTCTTGGATAATTTTTCTGGCTTCTTTGAGTTGAATTTCAACTTTCTCTTGAATCTAGTTGAGTTTCCTTGTCATCCATATTCTGAGTTCTATATCTGTCATTCCAGACATTTTGTTCTGATTTAGATTCATTGCTTGGGAGCTAGTGGTATTATTTTGAGGTGATGAGAAACTCTGACATTCAGTTCTTGTGCCAATTCCTTCTCATCTCAGGGAGCTGATGATTCGGAGACTTTTTTTGTTTGTTTTTATTTTTTTTAATTTCAGTGGTACTTCTTTATTTTTTATTCTTTTTACTCTTGATGGCATGACCGTGATATATGTTGCATATAATCAATTGGCTTTATTTTTGAGTGCTTTCAAGGTGCTGAGGCTCCATACAGGTTCCTTGGCTGCAGATAGATTCATGCAGTGGCTTTCTCAGATGTTTCTTATTGCAGTGATGTATTTTTGTTTGGTGGTATATTTCAGGCTATAGTTTAGCAGATGGCACTTAAGAATAAGAGCTAACAGATAGGGGTGGTGGCCGAGGCAATGGAGAGCATAAAAAGTGTCCTCTCTCAGCATGTGTTCACCTTCATTGGGGTTGGAGAGGCTAAAAAATCCTGAGAACTGATTTCTTTTTCTTTTCTTCTTCTTCTTCTTTTTTTTTTTTTTAGACTGAGTTTCACTCTTGTTGCCCAGGATGGAGTGTAATGGCACGATCTCAGCTCACCACAACATTCGCCTCCCGGGTTCAAGGAATTCTCCTCCTGCCTCAGCCTTCTCAGTAGCTGGGATTACAGGCATGCACCACCACACCTGGCTAATTTTGTATTTTTGGTATATATGGGGTTTCTCCATGTTGGTTAGGCTGGTCTCGAACTACTGACCTCAGGTGATCCACCTGCCTCAACCTCCCAAAGTGCTGGGATTACAGGTGTGAGCCACTGTGCTTGGCCGAGAAGTAGTTTCTTTCAGCTCATACTCCTCAGGCCCTAACTGGGCCACTGCTGAGTCTACAACAGTGCACTGAAGAGGGGAATGGAGGCAAGAGATGTCCCCATTGCAGGGGTCATCCATCCTACATGTCTATTCCAGGGCTTTTGTGCTGCTACATTCAATACCTGGCACCATGTTCATGTTTTCTTTGACCCAAAAGAGCTTTGGGAGGCTGCACTCCCTCCTTCCTTAGGGGTAAACTGTGGTGAGGATTAGATTTCCAGGGGAGTGGTATCTGCCTCTCTCCCACTCCTTATCTGATTTTCTATGAGACTAGGTTTAAAATGACATCCTCTTCTCAGCCCTAGGTCTGGGAAAATGCCTGCAGCTTTTCCCAGTGTCTTTCCCTCTGTCTGCCTCTCCCCAAGTTAGCTCCAGGGCTTGAGAGAAAAGTGGTGCTCTCCCTTGGCCTGGGTTGCACAGATCCCCAGAGGAAAGGAGAGACATAGAGGGAGAGTAACTAACCCTCTCACGTAGTGGGGCTTCACTCATATATTTATCAGCCAAAAGCCATAACAGGGACTGCTTGCCCACCTTCTCCTCTCCAGGGTCTGGGTTGTCCTTGGCTATTCTGGTGAATTATTGTCTTTCTTCTTGAATTAACACTCTCAGAGTTCATTTTTATGTGCTATTTTCCTGTTTCCACGTGGCTGAGACATACAAAAGCCTCTAATCCACTATCTTCCAAAGAAAAGAAAACTATATATTTCTAAAGATTATATTTTATATGCTCTTTATAGTCTGAGACTGAACATTTCCAATTCATCACAAATATTCTTCCGTTACATATTTTATTTTTGAACCTCCCTTTATCTGCTATTTGCCTCACTCTCGCTGTCCCTTCTTTGCATATAGGACAGGAGAGTGAAAGTGTTTGTTCACAACACCATCTTGATTCAATCTTAGTTTTTTCTGGATTAACTATTTTATAATTTGGCCAGAATTATCAGCATGTATGTAACTCTAAAATATATATTTTTAGCTTTAATATTTTTCTTGTGCTTCAGATTTGCTTATTTCATATTATTATTTAGATTTTTTTCCCGGCACATCTAAACTCAGCATAATCACAGCTAATCTCATCATTTCCTTCCCAAACTTGCTCCCCTTCAAAACAAAAGCACAAGTGTCAATAATGGCAACATATTATAACCATTTGTCCAATCTAGAAATCTAGTGTGAGCAACATCATTGATGCTTCCTCTCCATGACCCTCAGCTCTCACATTCAGTCAATCCCAGGCCACTTTCATATGCTATCATGTGTCTTCTGAATTACGGCAAGATCTTTCTAATTGGATTCCTTACTTCTTGTCTTGCTCACCACTGGTCCATTTTTCTGGAACAGTCAGAAAGGCTATTCTCAAATAACTTCATCAATTTAATATCCTACCTAATAGCTTCAAGGCATTCGTAATGCTCTAAGCCTAAATATCACCATGAAAAGCATTATTCATTGCCTAACCAATGGCTATTTCTCCCTTTTTTTTTTTTTTTTGCCAGCAGAGTCTGTCTTCCACTATATCCACAGACAATACCAGATATCTCCTTTCTTAGATACACTTGCAGCTCAGGAGTAAGCAATAACTCAATCCTGGCCAACTGAGCCTGAGGTATGATCTATTAGTGGGCTTCTCACAAACATTTACCTTCCTGACAGAATAAAAGAGATAAGCAAAAATTATTGTATAAGTTTCTTATTGCCCCTTCAGTTTCTGTCATTACTTCTCGTTAATCTATTCAGAATATTGCAGCCATATAAGAAATATTTTAAAAGAAAATCTAATCATGACATTCCTCTTCTTACAACCTTAATTTGGCTTCCTAACTGACTCTAAATAGCAAAGTCCACACGGTGGCCTAAAAAACTTCTATATAATCTATACCCACACCATTACTGTACTCTTTTAAGTCTGTGATCTCATTCCCTACTATCTCTGCTCACCCTTTCTAGATCTGCTAATATAGCAGTGTTGGTGGCATAGATCAGTGTATTTTACTACCCTTTGAGGTTATCACAATTAGTTCAGATTGCTCAATAAAGCAATCCCTTACTGAGACAGCTCCTTTTACAAAACAATGTTTTACTTTTACATTGTACCCTCTTTCTGCGGATCTCAGCGGGTTTTCTCATTTATCAGATAATCTTTATTCATAGAGGAAGTGAGACTGAAAAAGTTGATTTCCTACAAAAGGATGATCTGAGGCTGAGAACAGTTAATTGATCCAACTAAAATCATGTGCTCAGTCAAAAGCTGTCCCCAAAACGTTATTCATTTGACTCTACACCTTTCATCTTAGATTACAAAGTAGTCAGTTTTTGAGCACATGCTGTAACAGTTTGATTCTTACATAAAGACTTCTCAAATAATGGTATAAGAAATATTGTTGTTATTTTAAAATCTTATTCCTACAAATACTACTCAATTACTAAATACTAAAATTATTAAATATTATAAATACTACTAAATAAGTATACTATATTTTTTATAAATTATTTCTGAATGTGATAAGTGAGATTGTATCAAACCAATGCTAGCGACATACAAAAAAAAAATTTGAAGAATCCTGAGAGCTTCTCATGCAGTCAAAATCTGAGGAGGTATGTAGGAGAGAAATACAGAGACATTAAAATAACACTAAACTCCTCTTGCTGTGGCATCTGCTAACTAAAAATGATTGCTGAGGGAACTGACAAGATGAGCAGAATCTCTAGACTGAACTGTGCCAGACAGAAGAGAAAGAAATTGGACATCACAACTGCCATGGCTGAGAGGCCTTGAGAACAATTCAGTCCTAGGAGACTAAAGAACTTGAAGTGAATCCCTTCTAGAGGAAGATAACAAGATCCAAAGCCTCTAATGTCCTCGCAGTTTACAGTTATTAAACCAGAACATTAAAATAACTGTGACTAAAATAATATAATAGAGCATGAGAGGTCAATATACTGAAGGATGAGATGGAGAATTTAAGCAGAGAATGTAAATTTATAGAGAAAAATTAAATAAAAAGTATGCTACTATAATTACTAGTCAATATCAACTCATTCCTCTTACTATACTTACTGTCTAAAAGATAAATGTTGAAAAAATAATACGAGAAAGACAGGAAGAGAAAAAGAAAATGTAGGAAAAAAGGATACAGAGCATTTCTTATACCATTTCTAATTACTACCATAATTTCTATGGCTTTCAGTCACAAACAACTTAATGCTAAATTTATTCTGTGGATTTTTGCACTTGGAATAGACTCACTTTTCTATGACTTGTTAGAAAGGCTAGAAGATTAATGAGCTAATGTTGAGAAAGCATATCAAATGCAAAGTACACATTTTAGAGGCACTACAGATTTCATTAAAAATAAACAGAGAGTTGTAGTGAAAGCAAGTGGAATATGTGCCGAGATGAAGTAGTGACAGTATCCTCATGGTTCCCAGCATCCCCAACTTTGGGAGAATTTACAGTTCTGAAAGTTAAAAATTCATTGGCAATACAAATAATTTGCATTTATACATTTTATACTCTGAAAATGCTAATGTTTGAAATATTTAATCACAGGGTTTTAAATTATAAACTAATGGAAGAACGAAGAGAACTATAAAAATCACTTACTCTATTTAAATAACATTTGGAGAAAAAAAACACAGAGCCTTATAACTTCTAGGCCTTACTCAAATCACTATGTTTTATGTCACCTGGAAACTTAAGACTGTTTATATTTTTGTTGACCTTTCTAATGTATCTCCTCAATTTCCATATTTTAACAAATTGTCCAATATGAACCATTAATAAAAGAGAGGAAAGATGCACTCAGAAAATGGCCTGCAGAAGATTCCTTTGACCTAACAAATGTATATTAATTATATTCATTATAGTAAATATTCTTGTTATTTAAAATAAATTTTCTAAAACAGTTACATAATCAAATGAAAATGGGTCATTTTATCATATACCCAAGTAGAACTTATCATAAAAATAGGCAAAATGACATTTAATTATTCAAACAGAAATTAGGAAGAAAATGAAAGAATAAGAGCACTTTACTCTTTTTATAGTTATCAGAATATTATATATACAGATATTGAAAACTTGAAAAATTATTTAATTCCAATATGAATCTAGTCATAATGTTCTAGGAATGTTTCCAAGTCATTTCATGTGTTAATTAATCAAAATAATTATTTTTAATATTTTTATAATCTGCACATTCTAAGGTAAAAAGAAGTTTAAAAAGACTGTTCCAGTTGTACTTTGTCTCTTCTAAATTTAAAATGTTGCTAGTTAATAATCATAATCAGTAAATCTTTTAAATCTCATAAAATTAACCACTTTCTACGATTTTCCTCAATTAGAGTTTTCCTTTATTTAGTAAACAGTTTTGAGAGTCTTCTATATTCCAGCAATGTTTTAGACACTGGAAATACAATAGTAAATAAGACAGGGAAGTCTCATGAAATTAATATTCTCTAAAGAAAAACAGACATATGAGAGGGTGTGCATTTGGTTCGCAGCTACATTAATTGTAATGGTCAGGGAAGCCTCGCAGAGGTGATGACCCATGAGCAGAAAGGAGGCTGGTAAGAAAGAGCCAAGCCTGCGAGTGTGTGGTGGTGCAGCATCCCAAGAGAGGACCAGCAGGTGCTATACGAAAGGGATCTTTAAATGTTTAGGTAATGGAAAGAAAATCACTATGGTTGGACCACAAAGCAATAGCTGTTTAGAGAATGGATCACAGAAGAACTAGAAAGCAGCAAGACCATTTAAGGAACTATTGACATAGTCCAGGAGCAGGGTCATGACGTATGAACCAGATGGTAATAGTAGAGGTGCAGCAAAGTAGTTGGCATTCAGAACAGATTTATTTGTTGACTTTTAAGTCTTTAATTAAATTCAGTCTCTGAATGTGTTTGCTTTTGATATTACATTTTTAGATTCTAATGTATCCCTTCAATTAGTTTTTATTCCTAATTAATATAATTTATTTGTTTTTCATTTAATAACTAACAACAGTTACCAGGTTGAATAAAAACATATCTGGATGTTAATAATAAATCAGCAAGTCTGAGACTATTGATAATTAAACTTCTCAGACATGGTAATGGAACAGGAGGAAAGCAATAATTAAAAAACAATTTTCTTAAATATAAATTAAATATGGTAGATTTCCCAGCTCTTCAAATATTAGAAGCTAATATGCTGAATAAGTTCTTTTGACAAACTGACTGTAATTTGAAATATGGCCAATGAAATTATTTGTGAATTTTTAATTTTTTGTATTGAACAAAAGCTTCAAAATGCATCTTTAAAAAATATGAAACTTTTAACAGGTCTCACTTTCAATATTATGAGATACAGTTTACATTATATATAAAAGAAAAAGGCTCATACATATAAAATAGTTTTTTTAATGCCGAAAAGCAAAAGCATGTATTTGGAGATCAAAAATCAACTTCAAGTCTTTCTCACCTCTAGCTCCCTTCTATGAGGCAGAATTTTCTTCAAGCCATACTAAATAGTTTTCTACTTTAGTTCAAGTCCTATAAAGCCTAAAATAATATAAACATACAGAATAAGAGAATACCAAATTTCATTTACTGGCTTTGATTTAAGAAAAATATTGAATGCATACTCACTTTAATAGAAGAAAAGCATCTGGACAAATAATGTAGATCTAAGTTGTCACTTTTATGAAACAATGTTACCAGTCATCTCATCTCCTGTATTCTCAATACATTCCAGGAATTTAAAGTTCATGTTAATAGTTTCAATAAAATTTCAAACCAATCTATGTGTAGCTATATATATACATATATATATATATATATATATATATATATATTTTGTTGTTCTTCTTCTTCTGTTTTGTTTTTGTTTTTTTGGAGACGGAGTCTCCTTCTGTTGCCGAGGCTGGAGTGCAGTGGCGTGATCTCGGCTCTCTGCAACCTCCATCTACTGGGTTCAAGCGATTCTCCTGCCTCAGCCTCCGGAGCAGCTGGGATTATGGCACATGCCACCACAGCTGGGTGTGGTGGCTCATTCCTGTAATCCTGCCACTTTGGGAGGCCAAGGTGGGCAGATCACTTGAGGTCAGAGGTCAAGACCAGCCTGGCCAACATCGTGAAACCCTGTCTCTACAAAAATACAAAAATTAGCTGATCTATGTTTTTAAACTTATTTCAAGCTACTGTATCTGGATTTTCTTGTCCAGACTTCTCAAATTTTTTTTTATTTCAAGTGAATATTTGAGTCTCTGAAATGATATACTTATCGGTCATACGCCTCATTTTAGAATAACATTTTCTGTTCCTCTATGATTTTGTAAATACTAATGTTCAAAGCTGAACTTAAATTCTAAATCCACTATGCCTTCCTCCTCCTTATATTATTTATTCTGTAAGATTCAAGTGAGATTTCATTGACAACTATGTGTGTGTGTGTTTGTGCACACGTGTGTTTGGTTCATGTTTGTCCCCACCTCTACAATGCTTTATTTTTAAAAAATTGTAACACATTCAGTTGGGACGTATACTCTACATTTGATCAATGTTTCTAGTACCTCCCATTGACCTATACTTCTTTCTTTCTTTTTTTTTTTCCGACGAGTGTTGTGGGTACTGGTTTTGATGACTTCATTCTACACCCACGCCTTACAGTTCAGAAGGGAGATAAGTTTCTCGCTCAGCTAAACACAAAATTTGAGACGTTTTGCATTTTCTTCCAGCCAGCATTCAGTGCAACAGGGATGAAAAAATCAAAAGAAATGAAATGATTTGCAAGAAATGAAATGAAATGATTTGCCGATATTATGAAATGAAATGATTTGCCCAATATTATGCAACAATATAGGATACGTGTGGAGACAGACCAGGTCCTATGTACCCCTTGATATTTGTTTATATTATTACTACATCATTCCTTACACTAAGTATCTGGTAATGGGCCCTGTCTCTTCATTAGAACAAAAGCTTCTGATTCAACTTGTTATCTGACCAATGCCAGAATATAGTGAGCATTTAATAAACAAATGTTTAATTATTTTTCCACTGTATCAAGTGGAATAAGCTGCTTCAAAGTTCCCATCATGCTCTCAGTTATTCCTTTTAGTCATTGTTTTTTCCATCTTTTAATCTTTTTTCAAATTGTACTGTATTTCTATTGGCTGTAAGGTTGAAAGGAAGAAACAAAATATTGTTAATTTGTTTGGGGCCTTTCATCATCTTGGCGCATCAGCTGGAAAAGACCAAAAGCAAAAGTGCTTGCCAAAATAGCTTATGTATTCCTGTCAATTTCTGCCTGCTGAAAACATACTTCTTTTACAGCAGCCAGCAATGAAGCTATTTGGAGCCAAAAAGCAATGCCTCTGTCTTCCTTGCCAACTTGTATCATGTTGTGCCTTTGGAACCAAGAGCTAAGATATTTTATTCATCTCTTGTCACCAAAAGAAGTTTAACTGTTTTATGATGTTTTGCAATGCAGGTGACTGGTGGAGCTGAAAACAGAGCTGTTAAACATGATTTGACCATGAAGACTGGAAACATTACATCAATTTCTCTGAAGAGGTACTGTTTTTGAAAAGAATGACTTACTTAGCACCCCCTGAAAGATACTTATAGATCTACTAATCAAGAAGAAAACAAGTAGGCAATATTAGTAAGTAAATCTCAAACTAGACCATAGTTCTAATGTCCTAATTATCTAAGCCTGTGACGATATCAATTATGTTACAATAAGCATGGATACATGACAAGTGTGTAGTAAGCAGGATTTTGAGCCTCAGAATGAAAGAGCTAAATTTAACATTGAAAAGGTACTTGATGCAAATGGCTTTAACAGTTATAAACCATCTTCTAGGACCAATTCCAATAACTGTATTTAACTAAAAAATGTATGGCAGGGCTGCAATTTTGCCAACTCAGTGTTTGTTGCCTGTGTGTACAATGTAATCCCCTTGGAGGTTGGCAACATGGTGGTCCTAACGCACAGAAGACAGGATCCAAAGAACTTATCTTGAATATTTTGGCTTTAAAATATACAAACTCTCTCTCTCACTACAGAACCAAATATCCTGTTTACATTTTGACCTAGAAGATATTAATAGTACCCGATATACCATCTGTTTATAACCTTCCAAATATTTTCCTTAAAAGTTTATTATTTAAATGATTTTCTTTTTTCTTTTTTCTTTTTTTTTTTTTTTTTTGAGATGGAGTCTTGCTCTGTCCCCCAGGCTGGAGTGCAGTGGCGCCATCTCATGTCATTGCAAGCTCCGCCTCCCAGGTTCACGCCATTCTCCTGCCTCAGCCTCCCTAGTAGCTGAGACTACAGGCACCTGCCACCTCGCCTAATTTTTTTGTATTTTTAGTAGAGACGGGGTTTCACCGTGTTAGCCAGGATGTCTCAATCTCCAGACCTCGTGATCCACCCCCCTCAGCCTCCCAAAGTGCTGGGATTACAGGCGTGAGCCACTGCGCCCGGCCTTAAATGATTTTCAAATATTATTCAATAAATTATTATTTTAGTAAAGGATCAATCAATAATAAATGCAAAAAAAAATTGAGTCAGGATTTAAATGGCAGTTATAAATTATGTCTTTAAATATTTCAAATAATAATTCACCCAAATATTTTACAATTAATGTTTACTATACTATCATCCACACCATTAATTTTGCCCTTTTTGTCAGTAGATTAAGCATTTTGAGATAAATAATTCTAAGGATAGACTCAAGAATATTGTATAGAAATGAATCCCTGACTTTAAACAAGTAAAATTGAAACAAATAAAACCAATAAGCTTACATATAAAATCAAGAACATAATTCTTATGAATATTAAAACTGCTGAGACTACATGTTATGCTTCCTCTTAAAGCTCCTAAGAACTAGTGCATTAAGTTCAGGTATTAACTTAGTTTTGTTTTTTGAGTCTATAGAAAAATATAGGTTACCTTTTTCAGATTTATGTGAAAGCTTACTCCAATTTATGTAGAAATTGTCATAGTTAGAAAAAAAGACTGTACATTTCACTTAACATATATATTAAAAATGAAATTTTACATTTTTTCCTATATGAGTTTAAATTTTTCTAGTCTCTTACAATTTGATGAAATATTAATATCCAATTAAAGGCCAACATAAATATGATTTTATTAATACATAGTATCTTACTGCATTATTCAATGCTTGTAATAAACCTGTTTATATATGGAGAAAAATGATTAAGATTAGTGGTACTCAAAGTGTGGTCTCAGATACCAGCAACAGTATCACCTAGGGCCTCTAAGAAATATAAATTATTGGGACCCACTTAAGACCTATTGAGTAGGAAACTCTGTGGTGGCCCTAGCAATGTCTTTTTAAGAAGAAGAAAGGCTCTGATTTGTAGTGTTTACCTATTTCTGGGGTGCAAATACCCCCACTATGCCAATTTCAAGTTGCAAATGTAACACCACTGAATGCACAGTGGAGAAGTGATATGTAACACTGCCTTTGGGTGATTTTGATATACTCTACGTTTGTAGATCACTAACTTGGACTATATGGAAGTGTATAAGAACACAAACTTGGACTTTAAACAGTTTTGATTTAAATAGTGTTTCTACCATTTACAGGATTACTAATTTGGTCTTGGTCAAATTATGCAACTTCTATATTCCTTAATTTTCCTGTCATAAACAGAGTCACTGAAAGTGTCTACCTCATGATATGAGAATCAAAAGAGTTAACTGGAGTAGAGTGGAGTTGCATCTTATACAGGGGTTAAGTTCCAAAGTCAAAATTTAAGGCATAATTGTCTGTAGAACAAAAGCACGCTACAAAATTCTTTTACCATGTCAGTATGTCTAACACAGACTACTTTCCCTCCATTGTAGGAGAGATCTTCATTTCTTCAATTACACACCAGATACAGCTCTTAGCTTTTATTTACAAGCTATAGTACATGAAAATTACTTGTTTTTAACACTAGACTAACACAGACTAATACACAGTAATTATTTTGTGGGAAGTCCATGAAACGAGACCAACGAGAGTGCAGCCAATTCACGTCTCACACTTGGCTCACTACAGGACATACTAGAATTAAAATTATTTTTGCTGTCATTATAACGGCTGTCGTTGGGATTACGTTTGTTGTTATTATTATTTATTTTTTCTTTCTTTTAGGGAGTACGTAGCAAACATTTTAAAATTTACTCAATTTAAATTCACTTAATTTAAATTCAGATATTAGTATTTTTATACCAAAGTATTTGATGCAATTTAATTAATGCAATTGCATTGCAATTCAAGTAATAGTAGGTCTTCCACAGGTAACTTGTTAATATTATTATTTTTGTTGGTGGATGTATCTTACTTAAAATCAAAAATGAACAGAGTCTCAGAAGTTTTTCAAAGTCCCCTCACACCCCGAAAAAAATGTTGTAAAAACAGTAGAGATAAAAAGCATAACACATCATCTGGTTTCTTCCCACTCCTTGAGTAAAGTTAACACATTTCTTAAAAGTAGGCCAGTCCATTTTAGTTTTACTACTTTCCTACAAAGACTACATCTATCTTACAGTTCAAATTTTACCAGAATATCTCTTTCTATATTTTATCCCAATATTCTGAGCTACATAATACCTTGTACCAAAATAAATAATTCCTCTTTACTCTGACATTTGCCCTATTCAAATACATGTACAAATTAACCTACTTCCCCTTCAACTTAGTTATAAATATGTACTCGCTTTAATCTTTCTTGATAAGACAGCCCTCTAATCAATTTTTGTCCTCCCATTTCAGAGCTAAATTCAATACATGCCGTAATTTAACTCTTAGGAGAAAGCTTACCATACAGAATGTAATGCATTTTAGTTAGAATTGGAAGATTTAAAGGCACACTTAGAAAAAAACACTCACTACTGTAAATGCATAATGGAGATTTACCTAAAAGACATTGATTTTATCTTGATATATATTCTGAAGCTCATTGATGTTTGAAAACTTTTAGCTCCTATGTACCTGAAAGCAATAATACATTTTTTTCTGGCCTCTTAAGAATTAATGAAGTTTCCAATATCCATCATCTGTGAGCAAAATAAATAAACCTCAGGTTTTTAAGTCTACTGTAATACCTGTCAGAGATATTGGTTATTTGGATATTTCTTACTTGATCACTGGAGGTGATGGCTGATGATTCTCAAGAAACTGAGAAGCAGGTACAACAAGGAAGCTTATGTAATAATTAGCATAACTTTATAAGGAGATTTTTATGCATTTCATTTTATATTGAGAGATAATTAGGAATGCTTATTGATACCTTATGTTCCAGAACACCAAAAAAATAAGTATAGTATCCAGTGGCAAAGACTTCCTGACTCCTATACCTTTTCGACCTTGAAGAGTGAGTCCAAGACCAGGCATCATTTACTATAAGCTGACTTAAGAGCCCTTGGGCCTTAAGGGAACATCAGAGGCAATCCAGCAGTACACCTATGGCCTAGGGTGGCAGTGGCTACAGGGTAAACTTCTCTGCCTTTGGAAAGGGGAGAGAAGAGTGGGAAGGAGTGCCTGCTGTGTTTTGAGTGTTAGCTCAGCTGCAGTACCATAGAAAACCAGGTCAACTTCTAAGGTTTTTACTCTAGTTCCTGACTCCCAGTATCTTTGGACCACCCAGGGCCCAGGGAACCTCATCACCCTGAAGGGAAGAACACAGGCCTGCCTGGTTTTGCCATTGCCACTGTTGTGTCACTGCCCAGAGCCTAGAGCAAACGACATAGGTAATAGCCAGGGAGTGGTGATAGCATGCCTTGGACAAGATCCAGCACTGTGCTGGCTTCAAGTCTGACCCATTGCAGTCATAGTTGTGGTGGCCACAGGGGTGCTTGTGTTATTCCATCCCCAGCTTTATGTTGCTCAGAACATAGAGAGAGACTTTGTTTGTTCAGGAGAAAGTAAGGGAAGAGAACAAGAGTCTCTGCCTAGTAATCCAGAGAATTCTCCCAGATCATGTTCAAGACCATAAAGATCATACCTCTATAAGTCAGCAAGAACCACAGTGTCACTGGGCTTCATGTAACCCCTAAAGCAGACTCAACTTAGATAAAAACACCCAAGTCCTTTCAAATCTCTGCAAAGCCTTCCCAAGAAAGATGAATACAAATAAGCTCAGACAGTGCGGACCAGTATATCTCCTAGCATCGACACCATCCAGGAAAACATTACCTCACCAAATGAACTAAATAAAGCCCCAGGGACCAATCCTGAAGAAACAGAGATACATGACCTTTCAGACAGAGGATTCAAAATAGCTGTGCTGAGAAAATTTAAATACATTTAAGATAACACAGGGAAGGAATTCAGAATTCTATCAGATAAATTTAATGAACAGATTGAAATAACTAAAAAAGAATCAAATAGAAACACTGGAGCTGAAAAAAATGCAACTGGCATGCTGAAGAATGTATCAGAGTTCTTTAACAGCACAACTGAACAAGCAGAAGAAAGAATTAGTGAGCTTAATGAAAGGCCACCTGAAAATACACACTTAGAAGAGATAAAAGAAAGAATAAAAATTAACGAAGCACACCCACAGAATCCAGAAAATAGCCTCAAAAGGGCAAATAGAAGAGTTATTAGCCAGCCGGGGGCAGTGGCTCACACCTGTAATCCCAGCACTTTGGGAGGCTGAGGCGGGCAGATCACGAGGTCAGGAGATTGAGACCATCCTGGCTAACACCGTGAAACCCCGTCTCCACGAAAAATATAAAAAATGAGCCAGGCATGATGGTGGACGCCTGCTGAGGCAGGAGAATGGAGTGAACCCGGGAGGCGGAGCTTGCAGTGAGCCAAGATTGCATCCCTGCACTCTAGCCTGGGCAACAGAGCAAGACTCTGACTCAAAAAAAAAAAAAAAAAAAAAAAAAACAGTTATTAGCCTTAAAGAGGAGGTAGAGAAAGAGATAAATAGAAAGTTTATTAAGGGATAACAGAGAACTTCCCAAACCTAGAGAGAGAGAGATCGATATCAAAGTACAAGAAGGTTACAGAACACCAAGCAGTTTTAACACAAAGAAGACTACTTGAAGGTATTTAATAATCAAACTCCCAAAGGTCAAGGATAAAGAAAGAATCCTAAAAGCAACAAGAGGAAAAAAACAAATTACATACCAAGCAGCTTCAATATATTTGGCAGCAGAGTTTTCAGTGGAAAACTTACTGGCCAGGAAGAGTGGCATGACATACATAAAGTACTAAAAAAAAAAAAAAAAAAAACACCTTTTACCCTATAAAAG